>NT_187519.1:303886-455829 GCF_000001405.40 Homo sapiens
TCACTACACAGTATCAGACCCACAGGTTAAGGGCTCAGTACCACATGACTGCCTGCTACTTTAGATACCAACTGCAAATAGTAGGTCTCTTGGTTATCCACAATTCTGTCTGATTTGTCTGTAAATTGGGGATTCCTACAATCCCTTCCTAATGTGTGATAATTTGCTATAATGGCTCACAAAATTCAGGGAAACACTTTGCTTGCTATTACTGGTTTATTATTATATAAAGGATATAAATGAACAGCCAACTGAAAAGGCACGTAGGGCAGGGTCCAGGCTGGTCCCAAGTAGAAGAGCTTCTGTCTGTGGAGTTTGGGTACACCACCCTCTTGGCATGTGGATGCATTCGCCAACCCAGAAATTCTCTGAACTTCATCATATAGGATTTTTATGGAGGTTTTATTACATAGGCATGATTGGTTAAATCAATGGCTGTTGGCGATTAAGTCAATCTCCAGTCCTTTCCCCCCTTGAGGTGGGGGAGTGGGGCTGTAAGTTCTAGTCTTCTAATCATGGACTGCAGCCACCAGTCATCTTATTAGCATACGAAAGGATACTCTTATCACCATGGAGATCCTAAGGGTCTTAGAAGCACTTGTGTCAGAAACCCGGGACTAAGACCAAATATTTTAACGAAAGATGCTCCTATCACCCATGTCACTCAGGAAATTACAGGGTTTTAGGAATTCTGTGTCAGGAACCAGGGACAGAGACCACATATATATTTGGATTCAGATTGACAGGTTTCAGATTCTAGTGCTGCCACTTATTAGCCACTTCCTACCTCTGTGACCCTCAGCTACTCTATGTGACTCAGTTTCCTCCTGTATAAAATGGAGGCAACAATGAAACCTATCTATCCCATAGAACTGTAATGATTAAATGAGTTAATATATATGACATACATAAAACAGGGTCTGGAACATAGAAAGCAGCATTTTGATAAAAATTATTATTAGCCATGCATTTATGAAACATGGAACATGAAAGACAAACTAAGAGAGAGGTGTGTGCTTCAAGAGTATATGTCTTCAGAGGAGTAAAGAATAATTCCATTTGTTGAATGCGCTGAAATCTAGCCCTCTTTGCCCATATTTAGATTACTGCCTGTACCTGAAGGAATTTTACTTTGCAACACTTGTAGAATATGACCCTAATAGCCTGAAAATGTGAAGTGATTCTTGACCTGTAGTGTAGAAGCATATGCTTTTTCTTTTCATCATAGGTAAGAATAGGTATTTTATTTGTAAAATATGCATGTTTATTTAAAGTTGAATTCAGTTGCAGTTACTGGCACATTTTATTTTAGGGAAACATGCACAATTCTTGGATTACAACAGGTGAAGATTCTGGGGTGGGCGAAACCTCCAAAAGACCATTTTCCCATGACAATGCAGATTTTGGCAAAGCTGCATCTGCTGGTGAGCAGCTAGAACTGGTGAGTATTTGGGTGCTTTTCTCTTATACATCTTTTTTTTCTTTTTCTCTTTTGTACTTTTTTAAAATTCTGGTAAAATATATATAACAAAATTTACCATTATAACCATTTTTAAGCGTACAGTTTATCTGCATTAAGTACATTCATGTCACTCAATCATAAACATTATCCATTTTCAGAACTTTTTGATCATCTCAAACAAAAAGTCTGGACGTATTAAACAATATCTCCATTCCCCTCCCTGCCAACCCCTGATGACCTCTCTTCAACTTTCGGTCTGTATAAATTTGCCTATTTCAGATACTTGACATAAGTGGAATTAAACAATACTTGTCCTTTTGTGTCTGGCTTATTTCCCTTAGCATAATATTTTCAAGGTTCATTTTGTTGTAGCATGTGTCAAAATTTCAAGACTGAATAATGTTCCATTGTATGTATGTTACCAAACTTTATCCATTCATCTATTGACTGATATTGGGGTTGTTTCTATCTTTTGACTGTTATGAATAATTATGCTGTGAACATTGGCATATGAGAATCTGTTTGAATCCCTGTTTCAATTATTTTAAGTATATACCCAGAAATAGACTTATTGGATCATATGGTAATTCTTCATTCTTTTTTCTTTCTGCTCCTCAGACTTGATCATTTTAATTGTCGTTTCTTAAAGTTCATCAATTCGTTTTTCTACCTGCTCAAATCTGCTCTTGAATACCTTTAATAAATTTTTTATTTCAGTTATTATACTTTTTAGCTCCAGAATTTCTGTTTGGTTCCTTTTTATAATGTGTTTTCCTGATTTTCTTTAGTTCTTTGTCCATGTTTGTCTCTTGGCTCTTTGAGTGTGTTTAACACAGTCATTTTAAAGTCTTTCCCCAGTAAGTCTGATGTCTGTGGTTTCTCGAGCGTAGTTTCTGTCAGCTTATCCTGTTCTTTTGAGTGAGCATGTTTTCCTGTTTCCTTGTATTCCTTGTTATTGTGTTGTTGAAAATTGAGCATTTCCCTATTGTAATGTGATAACTCTGGAAATCTTTAACTCCTTCTTTTCTAGAATTTGCTGTCTTATTTTACTTTTGAAGGCTGTAATACTCCTTTTGTTTTGAGACATTTCCATACTATTTTTGTGAAGACTATTCCATATCGTGTGATTATTGAAGTCTTTGTTCTATTAGCTCATGTTCAGCTAATGTTTGACAGAGATTTCCTTGAATTCCAGGAGCTGAAAACAAACACCCTCCACTCCCCCCAAAAGGTGGGGGGGGGGAGAGAGAGAGAGAGAGAAAGAGCGAGAGAGAGAGAGAGAGAGAACAACCCACCTCTCCCAGTCTTTTCAGATTGGGTCTGTGCTGGGACATTCTTTTCCCATTTAACCAGGCTTGCTCTGAGCCTAGGGATCAGCCATAGGTGAAAGCTTACAGTCTTCTCAGGATGTTTCTGAGTGTGTATCTTTCCTAGGCATACTGTGACTTTCTAAATTCCCCCCCCCCCCCACAGCTGCCTTTGAACGTCCTAATTTCCCAAAGCGTCAAAAACAATTCTATTTTAAGACTAAATAATACTTTTCAATCCTTTTATGTATGTAACAGACGTTTATTCTTCTCTTGCTAACCTGAAGTCTTCTTTGCATTAAATTTGACATGTCAGAGTTGATCAACAATGATGAAAGAGTGAGATTAACACTGTAAATGGAATGTTCCAGGGGAAGATAGAATGAATCATAGTTCAGGTTCTCATTATTATCCACAGATGATATAGTTTTCTAAAGATTCTTTCTGCCCAGTCACCCTCTCCTGTCTTAGTCCCTAATCCAAGCTTCATTCTACTTGGGAAAGAGTATCCTTCTTCAAAAAAGAAAATTGGAAAGACTAAGTAAATTGTATCTTTTTTTTCCCTCTCTGAATAATTTACAGTAGCTACTTAATACCTATAGGATAAAGACCAATGTCTCAAGTCATCCACAATTTGCGTCAAACTAATGTTCGAACTAGTTTCACACTCTTCTCCTGTCTTTTGTTTTTTGTTTCTTGTTTCTTTTTGAGACAGAGTCTTGCTCTGTCGCCCAGGCAGGAGTGCAGTGGTGCCATCTCAGCTCACCACAACCTCAGCCTCCCGGGTGCAAGCGATTCTCCTGCCTCAGCACCCCAAGTAGCTGGGACTACAGGTGTGCGCCACCATGCCCGGCTGATTTTTGTATTTTTAGTAGAGACGGGGTTTCACTATGTTGGCCAGGCTGGTCTCAAACTCCTGACCTCGTAATCCACCCGCCTCGGCCTCCCAAAGTGCTGGGATTACAGGCATGAGCCACTGTACTCGGCCTCACTCTTCTCCCGTCACTCTTACAAATCTTATCTGTAGGCATGCAGACCACTCACCAGTTGCTGCTTCATAAATTTATAATCCACTTTCATTTCTCTTTGAAGAACTGGCTTTGGTTTATGCAGTCCTCCCTCCCCAAAATGTTCCCTTCTTACCCTCTACCTATTGAAATGTTTCCAGTCTTCAGGGTATAGTTGAAATGCGCCCTCTCATTCTGCTTTCCCGAATAGCATGTTTTCTCTCTTCCCTTTTCTGCATTAGAATTCCTTTCTCTTTTATGCCTCCCCCTAGCACTGTGTTTATGACTATTGGAGACTCATCTTTTTTCCTTGTTTATGAAAAAGGTCAATTTCTGCATTTGTGTGCTCTACCTCACAAGTGTTTTTCACTTTTTCCAAGGGTTTCATTCTGGGACTTTTCTTTCTCTTGTATCTTTTCCCTATCAATGGTTTATTCTTTTTATTTTATTTATTTTTTTGAGACGGGATCTAGCTCTGTCACCCAGGGTGGAGTGCAGTGGCGCAATCTCAGCTCACTGCAACCTGTACCTCCTGGGTTCAAGCAATTCGCCTGCCTCAGCCACCCAAGTAGCTGAGACTACAGTCATGTGCTACCACACCTGGTTAATTTTTGTATTTTTGGTAGAGATGGGGTTTCGCCATGCTGCTCAAGCTAGTCTCAAACTCCTGGCCTCAAGTGATCCACCATCTTCAGCCTCCCAAACTGCTGGGATTACATGTGTGAACCACTGCACCCGGCCAATAGTTTATTCTTAGCAGAATATATTCTTTAATAGCTCCCATAAAGCAAACAAACCCAAAATATATTCTCCTGACCCTACATTCACTTCCAACTATCACCCTACATCTACATTCTCCTTTTCATACCAAACTTTTTCCAAGCAGTTGTCTATATTTATGTCTCCACTTCTTTACCTCCTATTCTTGCTTCAGTATGCTTCAGTTGAGCTTCGTCCCCCTGTAGTCCACCCCAACTGCTCTTTTTTTTTTTTTTTTTTTTTTTTTGAGACGGAGTCTCGTTCTGTCGCCCAGGCGGGAGTGCTGTGGCGCGATCTCCGCTCACTGCAAGCTCCGCCTTCCGGGTTCACGCCATTCTCCTGCCTCAGCCTCCCGAGTAGCTGGGACTACAGGCGCCCGCCACTGCGCCCGGCTAATTTTTTTTTGTATTTTTAGTAGAGACGGGGTTTCACCGTGGTCTCGATCTCCTGACCTCGTGATCCGCCCGCCTCGGCCTCCCAAAGTGCTGGGATTACAGGCGTGAGCCACCGCGCCCGGCCCCAACTGCTCTTTTTAAGGTCATTAATGACTTCCAGCCATCAGTCCTCATTGCTCTAAACCTAGTAGCAGCTTTGTATAACATGTACATTGGTTGATTATACCCTCCTCCTTTATATTTTCTAAGACACAATTTAACATAACATTCAGTAAAGTACACAAAACAAAAATTTACAGCTCAAAGATTTATCTGTAAATGAACACCTATGTGATTATCACCACTTTATGCTTCCTCCTAGTTACTGCCCCTTCATGCCATTAAAGCTAATCATGATCCTGAATTTTCTGAAAATACTCAAGTATGCATCATTAAACACTTTTGAGTTCTGTTTTTTCAATGTTATATAAGTGGAATTGTATAGTATGTATTCTTTGTATCTGGTTTCTGTTGTCCACCATTATATTTGTTAGATTCATCCATGTTGTTACATTGGCCGAAGTTTGTTCATTTTCTTTGGTGGGTCTGCTATATGAACATATGACTTTATCCATCTGCTGTCAAGGAACGTTTGTGTTGTTTCCAGTTTGCAGCTATTGTGAGCAGTGCTGCTATGAACATTCTTTCATCTGTTGGTGTGTATGACACAAATTTACGTTGCATATGTATGTTGGAGTGGAATTCTTGCTCTCAGGATATGTCTGTGTTCAACTTGAGTAGGTAATGACAACCTTCCAAGGGGTTTTATCAGTTTACACTCCTACCCATACAAGGGGTTTTATCAGTTTACACTCCTACCAGTAGTACATGAGTGATACCTTTGCTCCATATCCTTACTAATCATATAGTATTGTCAATTTTTCTGGTGAACTTATAGTGCTATCTTGTGATTTTCATTTGCATTTCCCTAACTACTAGTGTGATTGAGTATTGTTTCATACATTTATTGTCCATTTGATGCCTCTTCTGTGAGCCGCCTATTCAGATATCCTTCTTATTATTTTTATTAAGGTATGTATCTGACATATTTATTTGGGGAGTTCTTTATATATTCTGAATGCAAGCCCTTTGTCAGTATACATATTATAAATATATATTCCCACTCTGTGGCTTCGCTTGTAACTCTCTTGATAGTTTGCTTGCTTGCTTTGATGGCTAGAACTTCAGTTTGTTTTCCTTAATTATGTAGTTGTTTTTTATGTCCTTTTAAAAAAGTTTTTTTCCAACTACAATCATGAAGCTAATTCTTCTACATAGTCTTCTAGAAATTATAGTTTCACTTTTTTTTTTTTTTTTTTAAGACGGAGTCTCACTCTGTCACCCAGGCTGGAGTGCAGTGGTGCGATCTCAGCTCACTGCAACCTCCACCTCCCTGGTTCAGGCAATTCCTCAGTCTCAACCTCCCAAGTAGCTGGGATTACGGGCGCATGCCACCATGCCCAGCTAATTTTTTTGTATTTTTAGTAGAGACGGAGTTTCACCATGTCGGCCAGACTAGTCTCGAACTCCTGACCTCAGGCAATCCGCCCGCTTTGGCCTCCCAAAGTGCCGGGATTACAGGCATGAGCCACCGCACCCTGCCTTTTTTTTTTTTTTTTTTTTTTTTGAGACAGAGTTTCGCTTTTTTTGCCCAGGCTAGAGTGCAATGGCACAATCTCAGCTCACTGCAGCCTCCGCCTCCCGGGTTCAAGCGATTCTCCCACCACGGCCAGCTAACTTTGTATTTTTAGTAGAGACGGGGTTTCACCACGTTGGCCAGGCTGGTCTTGAACTCCTGACCTCAAGTGATCCACCTGCCTCGGCCTCCCAAAATGCTGGGATTACAGATGCAAGCTACCATGCCTGGCCTATGGTTTTACTTTTTGCATTTAGATCTACAACCTACCTGGAATTTATTTTTGTATATGGGGTCATAGTTTGTTCTTTTCCTATGTGTTTATACATCCAAGCACCATTTCTTGGAAAGGTAGTCCTTTGCCTTTATGATAGTACCTTTCTCCTAAATAAGTTGTCCATATATATTTGGGTCTATTACTGGACTGTGTTTTAGTTAATTGTGCTAATACTATACTGTCTTGATTGTTATAGCCTGAAATCTGGCAGACCAAGTCTTCCAACATTGTTCTTTATCCTTTGGCCTTTAGCATTTCCAAATACAGTTCAGAATTGTGAAGTTCCAAAAGTCATTTGGGATTTTGATTGAGATGGCTTTAAATTATAAATTATAGGTCATTTGAGAATCAACATTTTATGATATTATCTAATCCTTGTAAACTGCATATCAGTCCACTTATTTGAGTCATCTTTAATTTTTGTCAATAACCTTTCATAGTCTTCTGAGTGAAGGTTTCATACATCTTTCATTAGAATTATTCCTGACTTTTTATTTTTTATGCTATCATAAATGACACATATCTTCCAAATTTTTATTTTCTAACTCCTAATTGCTAGTGTAGAGAAAAACACATGAGTTTTGTATTTTGATTCAATGTCACTTTCTTTTGATTAGTGTTAGCATGGTATATCTTTTCCCTCCTTTTACTTTTAACTTTTAACCTATTTGTATCTTTTTTGAAGTGGGTTTTTATAGAAAGCATATAGTTGGGTTTTGCTTTTTTATCCAATCTGACAATATTTGCTTTTTTTTCTCCCTCCCCACACAAAGGCAGGGTTTCGCTTTTGTTGCCCAGGCTGGAGTGCAATGGCATGATCTTGGCTCACTGCAACCTCTGCCTCCCAGGTTCCAGCTATTCTCCTGTCTCAGCCTCCCAATTAGCTGGGATTACAGGCACATGCCACCACACTCGACTAATTTTTGTATTTTTAGTAGAGACGGGGTTTCATCATATTGGTCAGGCTGGTCTCGAATTCCTAACCTCAGGTGATCCGCCTGCCTCGGCCTCCCACAGTGCTGGGATTACAGGCATGAGCCACCGTGCCTGGCCATATTTGCTTTTTAATTTGGGTATCTAGACCACTGACATTTATTGTGATTATTTATACAACTCAGTTTAAATACACCATCTTGCTATTTGGCTTCTTCTTTACCTATCTCTTATTTGTTCCCCTTTACCTCTTTTTCTGTCTTCTTTGAATTAATTTTTTTTTTTTTTTGAGACGGAGTCTCACTCTGTTGCCCAGGCTGGAGTGCAATGGAATGGTCTTGACTCACTACAACCTCCGCCTCCCAGGTTCAAGCAATTCTCCTATCTTAGCCTCCTGAGTAGCTGGTAATATAGGCGCATGCCACCACACCCAGCTAATTTTTGTTTTTGTAGTAGAGACGGGGTTTCACTATGTTTGCCAGGCTGGTCTTGAACTCCTGACCTCGTGATCCGCCCGCCTTGGCCTGCCAAAGTGCTGGGATTACAGGCGTGAGCCACTGTGCCTGGCCATGAATTAATTATTTTTATGATTCCCTTTTGCTTTTTTTTGTTGGTCTGAAAAAAATCTTTAGTACCAGTATTCACTTGATTGCTCACTTCAGAAACCCAGGATTATTTTTAGTGTATTTTTCTCCCCTATATCTATTCTGTCATAAAATTCTCAGTTTTTCTCTTAAATATTTCTATACTAAATCCTTTCTTTTTAGTTCCTACTGCTTGATTGCTTTTGTTCATGTGCTTATCTCTTACCTATGTATTTGTAATTACTGGTTTCCCTTTCTTCACACTTCAATTATGATTTAAGACTCAATTCTGATAAAAAGCTTTCAGTGGCCCTCCAGTGTTTCTTCTAGAGGGAAAGTGCAGGAGACATGTGTACCAAATAAAAGTCTTGATATTTTTATTCTTCTTGTGGCCCACCTTTACCTATTTTGCCCATCTCCAATCACCTCTCCACCTCACATTTTACATTCCTGTGATACTGATCTACTTACTTTCCAAACATGGTTTGGACAACCTCTGTGCCTTCTGCTCTACTGGAAATTATCCTTCAAATCTTAACATTTCCTCTGTGAGGCCTTCTTTACTTATCTTTGGCTGAATTAGGAGTTCCTGCCTCTCTAAATTTTTCAGTTTCCATATACTTCACTAGAGCAATTTATGAACAGTTGGCCCTTGAATAAGATAGGTTTGTATTGTGTGGGTTCACTTATATGTGTATTTTTCTGAAGAAATGTACCAGAATTTTTTTTGAGATTTGTGGCAATTTAAAAAAACTTGCAGATGAACCATGTAGCTTAGAAATATGAAAAAATTAAGAAAGAGGTATGTCATAAATGAATAAAATATATGTAGGTAATAGTCTATTTTATCATCTACTACCATAAAATATACACAAATCTGTTATAAAAAGTTAAAATTTTTCAAAACTTATGTACACTATCACAGACTGTACACGGAGTCATTCTCAGGAGGAATGCAAAAAAACATAAAGATGCAGTATTAAATTATAACAGCATAAAGTAAAATGTAGTACATACTGTACTACTATAAGAATTTCATAACCACCTCCTATTGCTATTGTGGTGAGTTCAAGTGTTTTGAGTGTCTGCTTAAAACATCATGTGACACCAGTTAATCTCTGCATAAACAGTTTGTCTTTCCAGTAAATTGCATATCACAGTAAAAAGTGATCTCTTGGTGGTTCTCGTGTACTTTTCATCATGTTTGGTGCAATACTGTAAACCTTGAATAACACCATGAGGCCCATGCAAAGTGCCACTAGTGATGCTGGAAGTGCTCCCATGAAGCAAATTCATGACATTACAGGAAAAAGTTACATTGCTTGATATGTTCCATAGATTGAAGTCTGCATCCCCATTTCAAGTCTGTTGCCCCATTTCAAGATAAATTAATCCAATATAAGGACCATTGTACAAAAAGAAAAGGAAATTTGTAGAGCCATCACTGCAGCCGTGCCAACACGCACAAAAACTTTGTACTTTTGCACAATGCCTTTTTATCTGTCATGGAAAATGCAGATTTTATATGGGTACAGGATTTCTATAAGAAAAGCATACCTGTAGACTCTAATATAATTTGAGGAAAAAAAAAGTCATTTTATGACAACTTAAAACAAAAGGAAAGTAAAGGATATAAAGCTGGAGATTTTAATGCCAGCAAAGGATGGTTTGATAATTTTAGGAAGAGATTTGGTCTTAACAATGTCAAGATAACAAGAGAAGCAGCTTCTGTTGACCAAGAGGCAGCAGACAAGTTCCAAGATGCAATTATGAAAATTATTTAGGAGAGGCTGGGTGTGGTGGCTCACACTTGTAATTCCAGCACTTTGGGAGGCTGAGGTGGGCGGATCACCTGAGGTCAGGAGTTCAAGACCAGCTTGGCCAACATGGAGAAACCCTGTCCCTACTAAAAATACAAAAATTAGCTGGGCATGATGTCACGTGCCTGTAATCCCAGCTACTCGGGAGGCTGAGGCATGAGAATCACTTGAACCCAGGAGGTGGAGGTTGCAGTGAGCCAAGATTGCACCAGTGCATTCGAGCTTGGGTGACAGAGTGAGAATCTGTCTCAAAACAAAACAAAACAAAAAAAAGGACGAAAATTATTTAGGAGAAATGATATCTGCCTGAATAGGTTTTTAATGCAGATGTAAGTGCTCTACTCTGGGGGAAAAAATGTCACAAAGGACATTTATTAGTAAGGAAGAGAAGTGAGCACCAGGATTTGATGCCGGAAGGGATAGGCTAACTCTACTGTTTCGTGCAAATGTACTCAGGTTTATGATCAGGACTGCCCTTATCTATAAAGCTCCTAACTCACGAGACTTGAAGGGAAAAGATAAACACCAACTGCTAGTCTTTTGGTTGTGCCACAAGAAGGCCTGGACAATGAGAAACCTTTTTCTACACTGATTTCATTGATACTTTGTCCCTGAAGTTAGGAAGTACCTTGCCAGTAAGAGACTGCCTTTTAAAGTTTTTTGATATTGTACAATGGCTCTGGCCACGCAGAACCCCATGAGTTCAACACTAAAGGCATCAAAGTGGTCTCCTTGCCTGCAAACACAATGTCTCTAATTCAGCCTCAAGATCTAGGCAGTCATAAGGACCTTTAAGGCTTATTACATATGGGTACTCTATGGAAAGCATTTTCAACACAATGGAAGAGAACCCCAGTAGCAAGAACATCATGAAAGTGTGAGAGGATTACAGCATTGAAAATGCCATTATTGTTGTAGAAAAAGCCATGAAAGTCATCAAACCCATAACAATGAATTCCTGCTGGAGAAAACTTTGTCCAAATGTGGTGCATGACTTTATAAGATTTACAACAGTCAATCAAGGAAATCATGAAAGAGATTGTGGATGTGGTGGAAAAGGTTGGGAGTGAAGGGTTTCAAGATAGAGATCTTGGAGAAATTCGAGAGCTAATAGACACCACACAAAGGACTTAACAGAAGATGAGTTGATGGAGATGAGTGCTCCTGAACCAGTGCCAGAAAATGAGGAAGAAGACATAGAAGAATCAGTGCCAGGAAACAAATTGACATGAGATAATCTGGCAGAAGGGTTCTGATTATTCAAGACTGCTTTTGACTTCTTTTATGACGTGGACCCTTCTATAATATAGGCACTGAAACTAAAGCAAATGGAAGAAGGATAGATATCATATAGAAACATTTTTGGAGAAATTAAAGAGCATAACAAAGTGAGACAGAAATTACCACGTGTTTCCATAAAGTTAACTAAGTTTGCCTGCCTCTCCTGCCTTCCCTCCTAACTCCTGCATCTCTTCTGCCTCTGCCATCCCTGAGAAGACAAGACCAACCCCTCCTTTTCCTCCTCCAACTCAGCCTACTCAATGTGAAGATGGTAGGGTGAAGGCCTTTATGAGGACCCGCTTCCATTTAATGAGTAGAAAATACTATTTTCTTTTCCTTATGATTTTCCTAATAACATTATCTTTTCTCTAGATTGCTTTCTTGTAATAATATAGTATGTAATACATATAGCATACAAAATATGTGTTAATTGTTTATATTATTGTTAAGTCTTCTAGTCAATAGTAGGCTATTAGTAATTAAGTTTTGGGGGAGTCAAAAGTTATACATGGGGCCAGGCGCAGTGGCTCACACCTGTAACCCCAGCACTTTGGGAAGCTGAGGCGGGCAGATCACTTGAGTCCAGGGGTTCGAGACCAGCCTAGCCAACATGATGAAACCCCATCTCTACTAAAAATACAAAAATTAGCCGGGCGTGGTGGCACATGCCTGTAATCCCAGCTACTTGGGTGGCTGAGGCACAAGAATAGCTTGAATCCAGCATGTGGAGGTTGCAGTGAGCTGAGATTGCGCCACTGCACTCCAGCCTTGGTGATAGAGTGAGACTCTGTCTCAAAAAAAAAAAAGTTATACATGGATTTCCAACTGTACAGGGGTCAATGACCCTAACCTCCATGTTATTTAAGGGTCAACTGTAATTGAAATTCTTCATTTTTCTATTCCTTTCTGGGATATTTCGTAAGTTCCTTGCAGTTCAAGCCACCTTCATCTTAGATACACAATAAATATTTGTTGAATGAAAGAATAACTGGATACCAACAGAGGCTTGTAGGAGTTAGTCTATCATCATGTGATATAAAACTTTACTTTTGATCATTCATCTAGCACATATTTATTATATGTCAAATATTCAACAGCCACAATGAAGGATTCTAATAAGATTTGATCTTTGCCCTCATGGACCTTATGGGTTATAACTGTTTTTCCCCAGAGTCACACTTTTAGGGATAAGACCTGATATATGCAATTTTGAAAGACAAAGAAAATCAATTTTATGACTCAGCGGTTCTTTGCAGGCATTCACACAATAAAAATAGAAAAATTCAAGTGGACTAGGGAAAATATTTTCTAAGAAGACATGTTTCCCCCACGTTGGGTAAAAAGAAAAAAATTGAGTTTAATATTAAAAATTAAAGTTTACTTATAAAATACAGGACATAGAGAAAAATGTACTTCTATTTTTCTTTTCTATAGGAGAAGCTAAAACTTACTTATGAGGAAAAGTGTGAAATTGAGGAATCCCAATTGAAGTTTTTGAGGTAAAGTGAAATCGTCCATTTATAGTCATACCAAAAGCATAATGATCTTAAAATATATTTGAATGTTTGCTGAACTTCTAGTTTTAGTCATTATCAGACTTACTTGATGACATTTTAATACACTTTAAAAAATTTCCTCAGATTATTAAAGGATGAAAGGCCTAAAATTGAGTTCTTTTCCAAATCACGTTCCCATTTCTTCATCAGTTGTAAAATATTTGTGTTTTCTTGTAGAAATAAGAATCACGGCCGGGCGCGGTGGCTCACGCCTGTAATCCCAGCACTTTGGGAGGCTGAAGCGGGCGAATCACGAGGTCAAGAGATTGAGACCATCCTGGCCAACATGGTGAAACCCCGTTTCTACTAAAAATACAAAAATTAGCTGGGCCTGGTAGCACGTGCCTGTAGTCCCAGCTACTTGGGAGGCTGAGGCAGGAGAATCACTTGAACCTGGGAGGCGGAGGTTGCAGTAAGCTGAGACCACGCCACTGCACTCCAACCTGGCAACAGAGTGAGACTCCATTTCAAAAAAGAAAAAAAAAAAAAAGAAATAAGAATCACTAACTGCTCTTATAGAAATTATGATATTCAAGTAAAATAATGAAAATAAAGCACTTTAGTTTTCAAATTATTAGTATTTTTTCTCTGTAGATAGTCTTCATCTAATTTTAAAATTGCAATGATAATATAATAGTTTGAGTATTTGTATACATGATGAATTTGAGTATATATGATGAATATTCATGTACTTTTTATAGAATCTATTTATTAGAGATCCCAGTAAGACCTATATATTATAGATTAACCATTAGTGATTTATGTATAATGAGTAGAAAAAGACAGCAGGAATTAATATTTTTGTTGTTAAAGATTATTTTTAAATAGTAGTAATGAAGTAATTTTAAATCAAATAAACTTTGAAATATTGTTTATAATTTTATTTTAATAAGTCCAATTTGAAATTTTAAAATCTTCCAGGCCATAGCCTATCTAGAGACATAACTAGAGTAATACTAAGAGCCAGAACTCAGCTGATTGTGGTGGCTTACGCATGTAATCCCAACACTTTGGGAAGCCAAGGCGGGTGGATCATTTGAGGTCAAGAGTTCGAGACTAGCCTGGCCAATATGGTAAAACCCTGTCTCTACTAAAAATATAAAAATTAGCTGGGTGTGGTGGCACACATCTGTAGTCCCAGCTACTCAGGAGGCTGAGGCAGAATCACTTGAACCCAGGAGATAGAGGTTGCAGTGAGCCAAGATCATGCCACTGCACTCCAGCCTGGGTGACAGAGGGAGACTCCATCTAAAAAAAAAAAAAAAAAAAAAAACCGAGCTGGAACTCATAGCTTTCACTGTACATGGTTGTTTATTTTTTAAATGTTCTTATGTTTTTCATAGATTACCCTGATTAGTTTTAGGATTTCTCTTAGAGATTTTTACTTTTTTACAAAGAAATGTTAACATTTAAAAAATACTCTAATTTTTGCTTTCTTGTTTTTTGTCCTATTTTATTTTATTTTGATTTTATTTACGACTTGATTCTTTAGTTTTTAAAGTGATGTATTTCTAGATCATTGTACTTAAGGGAATGTGACTTATTTTGTCTCATTCAGAATCCAGATATTTCATCTTTAATTACATTAAAATACCAACTTGTAATGAATTAGACTTTGTTCTCTGAATCCTTCTGTTTCTTCATTTTCTTTTACTATAATTTAAGATTATTTAAAGAGGCATTTTCATAAATAAATAAAATCAGTCTTCTTTTCAACTTTCTTTTTAACTTTCTCTTTTGCCATTTCTAGTAACCAAATCTACTTGAGTGTTTTGAGTTTGGAGCTGACCAAAATTAGTAATGGGGACCCTTTGACTTTGGAATGTGCTTCCCAAGTTCTTTTTATAAAGCCTTTGAAAGTCAGACATTCCCTACATGATATTGAAAAAGAAAACTTATCATCTTGGTGTTATTATTTTGGGGATAGGGTAGACGCAGCTCATTTTTCTTCCCCTCAACTTTGGAATGCCATTCCAAAGTTTTTTTTTAACCCTTAGATTGCCTGTGGGTCTTTTATGCCTCTCCTGCGTTGCTTGAAAGCCCCCAAAATCTCAACAGTTGTCTGACAGCCAGGCTGTTGGCTTCTCCTCTGTGACAGTGAGCCAGTTAAGATGGCCACAGCACCTGAGCGTGGAGACTTTGACAATGACAACAGAGAGTAGACAGAGATGGAGATAAAGTTCCTGCCTTCAGTAGTCTCATTTTTCAGCTAGAAAGTTTTTTTTTGTTTTTTTTTTTTTTGAAGTACAAAAGAACCATCTAGGCAAGGAAGCTCAGTTGCCAAGGTGACTTTAGCGCAGCTTTACTGGGATAAGGTAGGAAAATACAACCCATGTACTAGTCAATTAATCCTTAAAAAGTCACCTTGGAGAAAAACCTCATCCAGAGGTGAGCTGATAAAGTAAAAACAAACAAAAACTACACCCACACCCACACCACCCCCACCCCCACCATTCCCCAGCCCTTTCTTTAGCAGCCTGTATGTTTCCAGCTAATAGCTACTACCCCTGAAATCTTATGACTGGCAAGTTCTATGTAACTTCCTTCTGTAACTTACTTTCTTTTGAAACAGATCTTTGTAGAAGTTTGTCGTTAGATAATTATCTATCTAACAGTAATGTTTTCCTCCTGAAGAAAAATGGGCAGTAATAAACTAGTCAAGGATAAAAATCCATGTTTTTTTATGTGAACTTTTAAGACACTCTAAAAATTTTAAGAGATTAATGCTTGAAATAGGGTATTTTCCTCACCTCAAGTATGTTGTCTTATATTACCCCACCCCTTTTTTAAGGAAAATGATTTGGGATTTATATTTGGAGTTTTATTTTTGTTTTGTGGTTAATATAACATTAATGGAGGTTGGATCCTGGGACAAGAGAGCCAGTGTCAGGCGGATTCTAATCTATATTAAAATCTTACAAGAACCTAAGCTAATTATGTAATTTATTCCAGTCTCATCATATTCAACGTGTCAATTAGAATCACCACACCAAAGTTTCAGGGTCGTGGTAAAAATTAATAAGGTATTGGACGTAAACTAAAGCATAAGGTGAGTACCCATAAACGATAGTAGTAGTTAACATTATGATGATTCATTTTAAAGTCATGTAATTTTACCTGGCCATTTTCTAGAATTTTTTCACCCTCTTTTTAGGAACGACTTAGCTGAATATCAGAGAACTTGTGAAGATCTTAAAGAGCAACTAAAGCATAAAGAATTTCTTCTGGCTGCTAATACTTGTAACCGTGTTGGTGGTCTTTGTTTGAAATGTGCTCAGCATGAAGCTGTTCTTTCCCAAACCCATACTAATGTTCATATGCAGACCATCGAAAGACTGGTTAAGTAAGTATGCTTCTACGCGCACGGAGACTTTGGCAATATGGAAAATTCTGCCTTTAAAGGGGCATTGTGTTCTTCTAGCCCTATGCTAAGTCACATGTGATTATTGTTAATCTTCAAATACAGTGGATTTTAAAAGGTTCCTTCATTATAGCTTCCTTGAAGACAAATGGGTGGGTTCTGCCATGTCACCATGTCACTTTGAACAGAAACCATGCCACTTTGAACAGATAATAGTATCTCTTGGTTTCAGTCCATCTTCAAGTGAGAGAATTGAACTAGACAGTTCTTTACGATTCTGTCCAGTTCTATGAATCTATGATTACAAATCTAATACTATTCTTAGCAAAACTGAGTGTAATAGAAATTCCTTTGGTTTTGCCATATCTTGGATTTTTCTGCTGTACTTCAGGTAGAATGAGTTATTACCACATCTTCATCATGTGTCTGTTGTAAGGAGTATTATAAGGACCCACTGTATCCCACTATTGATATTTGAGGGTTAACTGAGAACAAGTTACAGATGACCTTTTGTGTTGTCCAAGTTTTCGTCTAAGCTGAGTGAAACAATTCTCTTCGTACATCTGTTTTGTTGTTTTCACTATTCCAGAGGAGGCCTTTTCCTGTGAAAATTTTATTCTGTGGAAATTGAGAATTATTATGTAATATAGAACCCAGTGGCAGTTTATAGTGTATGTTCTTCCATGCCCCCTACTTTTCTTTGTGCTCAGTGTCACCTCTCTCTATCTGCTGTGCTCACTTAAATAACCCCAGATCACTTCCTTTTAGAAGAAGTCTCTCATCAGCTCTGCCCCATTTTGTCCTCAACTGACTTAGGTTCCTTTCTTCTGTGGTCATTAAGGTCAGACCGATTTTGCTCCATGTCCTGACCTTCAACAAATTCCTTTTCTTCTCTGAGCCTGGCATCTTCTGTTGTTTGGAGGAAAATACCTGCTTCTTCAGATTTAAGACCTTTTTGGGATTTTACTAAGGCAGGTTAGCCTGTGACCAGAAGTACTGCTTTTGAAACTGACTGCTTGGGTTCATATTCTGGTTCTACTGCCAACTTACCATGGAACCTTGCAAAAGTTACTTAACCTTTTTGTGCCTCAATTTTCTCATTTTTAAAATGGTGACATAAGTACCTAACTCATAGAGTTACCTTGAGGGGTCACTAGAGAAAACCTATATAGTACTTAAAACACTTCCTGACATATAGTAAATGCTCAGTAAATATTAAAACCATTCTGTACCTTCTATACTCCCAAGAATGATCAATATGTCTTCTAGCTGTGATTTCCACACATGGCTAACTCACTCAGGTTGGGGGTGAGTTGCTGTTGTTTTCGAGTTGGGGTCTCACTCCTTTGCCAAGGCTGGAATGTAATGGCACAATCATAGCTCAGTGCAACTTTGAACTTCTGTGCTCAAGCGATCCTCCTGCCTCAGCTTCCTGAGTAACTGCGGACATGTGCCGCCACACCCAGCTAATTAAAAAAATTTTTTTTGGTAGAGATGGGGTCTCACTATGTTGCCCAGGCTGTTCTTGAACTCCTGTGATCCTCCCACCTCAGCTTCCCAAAGTATTGGGATTATAGACATAAGCCACCACACCTGACCTAACCTACTAATTGTTATATGAACATAGAATTTCCAGTGTGGACTGACTGGTAGTTTTTTATGTTTGTTTGTTTTGTTTTTGTTTTTTGAGACGGAGTCTCTCTCTGTTGCCAGGCTGGAGTGCAGTGGCGCAATCTTGGCTCTCTGCAACCTCTGCTTCTCGGGTTCAAGTGATTTTCCTGCCTCAGCCTCCCGAGTAGCTGGGACTATAGGCGCCCACCACCATGCTTGGCTAATTTTTGTATTTTTAGTAAAGACGGGGTTTCACCATGTTGGCTAGGATGGTCTCGATCTCTTGACCTCATGATCCACCCGCCTTGGCCTCCCAAAGTGCTGGAATTACAAGTGTGAGCCACCACGCCCGGCCCGACTGGTAGTTTTTATGACCTATACTGCTTGGTTCTGTTTTTGTTAAGTATTTTAAGTATTCAATATGTTGTTAATTTATTCATATAGTCTCAATATAACTATTAAACATGTATTAACTATTTTCAGATACAACTAAAAAATGTAGTAAACATTTATTATATGTCAACGACTGTGCTAGGAGATTTAAGAACATCATTTTTAAAAATCTTCAAGCGTTCATGAGGTACATATTATTACCCCCGTTTTATAGCTAGGGAAATTGGGGTTCAGAGAAGTTAAAAATTTGCCTGTTTATATTTGAAAAACAAGAACAGAGCTGTACCTTACAAAAATAAATTCATGGTAGTTTAAAGGCTCAGATACAATTCAGACTATAAAAGCATTAGAAATAAATATAAAAAATATCTTATAATTGTGGGTTATAGTCCTAAGGATGACGTGAAAAGTGGAAGTCATAAGGGAAAAAAAGATACATTTGTTTCTATTAAAAAATAAATTCCCTTACAATAAAACATTACATATTCAGTTAAAAGGCTGAGAAAAAATATTTGCACTATACATGACAAAAGACCAATAGAATAAATTTCCTTTGAAACAAACAAAAAGGACAAGCTGCCTAGTTGCAAAGTAGGTAAAGAATAGAAATCAGTGAGCAATAAAAGAGGAAGATGTCAGCATATGAAAATGTATTTATTCTATTAGTATTTGAGGAAATACAATAAAAAAATTAAAGAACAACCCGTCAGACTGACAAAATAGAACAAGATTGATAATTTCAAGAGTTGGTGAGGTCATGAGTACACAAGTATTTTCACTCTGCTGGTGGGTTCATAAATTGGTGGAAATACTTTGGAAGTAAATTAGTCCTGTCCATTCATATTCAAATTGTGCACTTCACTTTTCAAAATCTACCCTCAAGAAAAAACTCAAGTACATGCATAATGGGGTATGTATAGGGAATGCTTTTTGCAGCATTGTTTATAATTATGTGAACAACCTAAATATCGTTCAAAGGAGAGTAACTAAACATGGTTTAGATAAACTATGTCATTTTGTGCATAGTATGAAAAACGGAAGTAGTTCTATGTGTATTAATGTTGGACCATCTCCAAAATATATTGTTGCAAGAAAACAAAACAAAATGGCTAAAGATAAATCTAGTATGAAACCTTTTGTATTTTTTAAGTCCATATACAACCATACTACATTTTTCCCCTTCGAGGTTCATAGATATGCACAGAAAAATATTTGAAAGTGTAAACACTAAATATTTAACAGAGATAACCACTAGAGAGGTGGACGAAGGCAATGAAATTGAAAGGGTGTCAAATAGGCCTTTAACAATATTGGTAACTAATTTTGCAAGGAGAATATAATTTAAAAATTAATTTTAGAAAGAGGAAAGCATATTAAAAGTTGCAAATAAAAAGAGGCAGAGCTTAAAACTAGGTAGTCTAGCAAAACTAATAAGCCAGGCATAGTGGCTCATGCCTGTAATCCCAGCACTTTGGGAGCCTGATGCAGGAGGATCACTTGAGGCCAGGTGTTTGAGACCAGTCTGGGCAACATAGGGAAACCCTGTCTCTACAAAAAATTTAAAAATTAAAAAAAAAAACTCAGCCAAGAAATAACAAGTTATTATGTTGCCTTTTATATTATCCTTCTAGATTATGAAAAAATATTTTTAAAGGAAGCTATAATGTTTTGGTTACTTCCAAGCCTGGCAGTCATTCAGAAATTAAGATTCTTGATCAGTTATGTATTCCTTTGTCTCTATCCTAAATTTGAGCTCTTAGCCTCTTAAAGTAAATGTCAACCTACTTAGTTCAATTTTCTGCCTTGTCAGCATATCATTGTCTCATGTTCTGCATTAATGACAGAAAGGATATTAAACCTATTAACACTGAGCGGATTCTGCTTTTATTGTCAATGAATTCTTCTTCTGTATCATTCTCTTGGCCTAACTTAACTAATGCAGAGTGCTGAATATTGAGTGCTATGCTAACTTTGAAGAGTGTCCAGCACCTTTTGGGTTTGGATTTCTAGTTTTATGTATAGTTAGAAGCCTGCCCCCTCCATAAGCTGTTATCATATTACCTGAATGACTTTAACATGGAATGTTTAAAAATGATACCTTAAATATGATAAATCAAAAGTTTCCTTGTAAATGTGGTATTGTGACAGCAGCTTTCAGCTCCTTTGTTGCATCCTTTAGCATTTACTATTTTGAATATATATTCATGAAACAAGAATGGCTTGATGGCCAGGCATGGTGGCTCACACCTGTAATCCCAGCACTTTGGGAGGCTGAGGCAGGTGGATCAGTTGAGATCAGGAGTTTGAGACCAGCCTGGCCATCATGGTGAAACCCCATCTCTACTAAAAATACAAAAATAGCTGGATGTGTTGGTGCACGCCTGTAATCCCAGTTACCTGGGAGGCTGAGGCAGGAGAATTGCTTGAACCTGGGAGGCGGAGGTTGCAGTGAGCCAAGATTGCGCCACTGCACTTCAGCCTGGGCAACAGAGGAAGAACCTGTCTCCAAAAAAAAAAAAAAAAAAATAATGGCTTGTACAGTTGACAAGGAGGGGATCAGGCATGACTTGGAGACCAGGCCACCCATATGTTTCTGGTGGTTTCTTAGGACTCAAGGACTTTTTGGAGAATATACTTAACAACTATTGATGACATTGGATATATTTTTTATGTTGATTTGAAGTCTTCATATTGTTTCCGACCTTTCGCCTTTCACTTGGCCTCTTTATGCCATAAGGGAGGTAAGAGTAACAGTAACCTCTTTTTCTTGCTTAATGATCAAAGTACCTTCACATGGTAACCAAGATGGAACTGCTTAAATTCCTTTCTGTAGCTCACAGTACCTTGGAGAAGTTTATACTTTTCAAAAAAGAGAAAAGATTCCAAGGGTACTTTTCTGGGGCTTTAGTCCAGCTTGTGATTTTGGAGTGGATCATTGGCCTGCTCTGCATAGCTGGCTTTAAAAGACTACAGCAGGAACTTCCCAGAAATGAGGAACAAAGAAATGTTGTAGTCAGCCTTCTAGACTTTCTTTTTAAAAACGGTGTAGTAACACTTATTAGTGATACCTAATAATGCTTAAAATTAATAATAACTGGAGTAATTTAGAAATTATAAGACATTTCTTAGCCACTCCACATTTCAAGGTGGAGCTCATGCATATACATTAGACCAACTCTTTTGCTTAAACACTTGGCTGAGATTGTTAAGGGACTTTCTCAGTCCTTTTGGCCCTGATTGCTGCGCTAAGTTTCTTAAATATTACATGCTCATTAGTGCGTGTAAGTACATGCTTTTCACCCCAGAACACTCATGATCTTTACGTCATCTTTCTGCCTCAGCTGCTCTTTCATCTGGATCATGGAATGTTGCAGGGTTAACACAGTGTTGCTGGCTTTGCGTCAAGAAGCTCCTTGATTACATTCATCAACACATTCACATGGTGTTTCCAAGCACTCATAGAACATTTGCCATGGAGGATGGTAATTTGGAGAACTGCCCTTTCACTCTCACATTGATATGCCACATGTGTCTGTACAGCTTCCCATTGTGAGAGCCTCATTCAGGTGTGGCTCTGGGCTGGACCTGTGGATTGCGGGATCTAGAGCAGGACTGTAGCTAACTGGGCAGTTACCCTGGGTGGCTGGAATCGGCTGTTTCTGAAAGGCAGATTATATAAGTAGCACTGTTAGTCCCAGGGGATAAGTGGGCTAAAAAATGAAAGCTCAGACAAGATGAAGCCAGATGGCCACAGGAATGGAGTAGGAAGCAAGGCCTTGTGTTGAGGAGAGGGGACTGCCAGCCCAGAGCTCTTTCTAAAAAAATTATTTGTGGGGTTGCTTGCTGCTATTTGTTATGTGGACTGGCTGAGTCAAAACAAAACCAAACCAAAACCAAGATTTAGTAACACCTGAGTGAATGAGTAGATAATCCTAAATTGCCAAAATGACTACCTACCTGCAAGCTTCCCAGGTGGGCTCAAAGCTACCTTGAAGCATGCGTTGCATTTGCCTTACAGAAAGGAGGAGTGTGTCAGCCCAGTGGTTACGTGGAGTTTGAGTGTAATCGTTTTGTGGTCTCACTGTTGAATGATGGGCCTAACAAGACATCTGTATATTGGAGTTTTATCTTTGATAATTTTCTGTGGTTCCATAGTCTAAATTTGGTGAGTTAATATTCTGAAACACTTTTGAACCAGAACGACTGAACTCTAGTTTCTAATTCAAAATAGGTAATGTTTTCAGTTTAGATCATGAAATATTAGAACTGAGAGGGAGCTTTACCTCACCTCTTTTGACACCATCCTATAGCAGACTCTTTATTCATTTATTTGTTTTCTTGTTGTTTATTCTGTTGAGCATCTACTGTGTGACAAACACTACTCTTGACAAGAGGATATTCTGAAAATAGATAAAGTCTATTAAACGTAAGTTTCCCATAAGCAGCAAGTTTGTTAGATTTTTATCCTGTTGTGGATCTGTCTGTTTGCATACTTATAAACACTGAGCTTTTTTGATCATTCTTTTTTGAGATGGAGTCTTGCTCTGTCACCTAGGCTAGAGTGCAGTGGCACGATCTCAGCTCACTGCAACTTCCACCTCCCAGGTTCAAGCAATTCTTGTGCCTCAGCCTCCCAAGTAGCTGGGACTACAGGTGCGCACTACCACACCCAGCTAATTTTTGTATTTTTAATAGAGACAGAGTTTCAGCATGTTGGTCAGGCTGGTCTGGAACTCCTGACCTCAAGTGATCCGCCCACCTCGGCCTCCCAAAGTGTTGGAATTACAGGCGTGAGCCACTGCGCCTGGCCTTTTTTGTTCATTCTTTTTCCTTGGAACTTTGGCTTTGGTGACTGCATGGTATCAGGAACAGATAAGAATCTCATTGAATAGTTACTTTTGCTCTTCATTAAGTCTTAGTGATTTAAGAAAGGTGACTGTAAGATGCCTATATTGACTTGCTGTCCTTAAAGAGTGAATTTTTCTTTTCTTTTAGAATCATAGATCCTAACTGGATTGCATATCCTTGATAAAGCTAGACCCCTTTTACGTTATAGAACTTTTATGGAAATGCAAATAGACACATATTCAATTTTGCTGGTGTTTATTTTTTTACTTAACTAGGATAATTTAATCTTGCCTTGATTCTTCCACTTTTTTACATAGTAATTGTGTTTGATTATATTCGATTAAAACAATTTACTTCTTTTTTCATTTCCTTGGAAGAAAAATTATTTTTATCAATTTAAAACAAATCAGGAAATTCTAAAGTGAAGATCACTCTGCTTCCATGAATTTTATATTTGCAGCAACTTATTCTTTTTTAAACAAAAAGGGCTTTTATGAAACTGCTAATAATTGTAACTTTGTTCAGTATTACATGTTTCTTCAAATGTGGCTGCTTTCCAAATACCACAAATAGTTTATTTTACCTTTAAGAGATGTTTTAAATTGAATCATTGGTTAATTCTGAAAGTAATTCAAGCAGAGTTTATAATCCTCTACACTATGACTCTTTAAAACTTGCTAATTAAAAAAAAATCATAGTTGGCCCTTTTCTCATAGTTTAGACCTTGGCAATGAAAAGGAAACTGCAAGCATTTATTTCAAATGAATTTGAAACCGTGGTTTAGTCTTCAACTCTTTAACAAAACAGGGAACACCATATGTAACAGTCCAGCATACATTTTTTGCTTTTTATGTCTTGAAAGTTTCCTGCCTCACTTTCTCTTTGTCTACTGGATATTTTTATTCAGTTGATAAATTGCAAATATCCTAGAATATTTTATATGGGACTTATTTAATCAATGAGATTGTATCCTTGCTATTTTACATGCCAGAGCATTTTGGCATTTGGTTCACTTCTACTCCCAATAAACAGCTTAGGATAGAGTACTTCTGAGAATTGCTGAAGAAGGGTGGGTCTTGGCAATGATCAAACCCAGTGGGATAAGATTGTGTTAAATTGTGAATGTTATATGCATAGCCAGGAGATTGGAGGAGTTCAACAGTACTAATCATTGAGCAACAACAAGTGTTCATAAGTAACTGAAAGAATGTAATTGAAAGAGAAGTGCAAAAAAGAGGATTGTGGAGAAAGATAAAAAGGAAAGGACATATATTTGTTCAAGTAAATGAGAGGAGAATCTGCTGCATGGACAAAGCCTCAGTCCTTCCTTAAAATGTTGACTGCTACCTTGATTTACAATTCGTACCTTCCCTACTTTGCTGCATTTTTCCTTTTCAGCACCTCCCCCCACTTTTAAAAAACTAATTTGCTCTTCTCTGGGCTTTCCCCTGCAGCCCTCTCCACAATAGATGATTGTCCCGCACAGATGCCGTCCTGCCACGAAGGCTCTTAGCCTTTCTGGCTGCTCCGCCCGCCGCTCGCCAAGTGAGGACAGAGGGTCTTTCTCTGGGGTGTGCTTTATTTCATATGTGCTCAGCCGGCCTACCCTGGCTCTTCTAATACATATTAATGCTTTTCTCTCCCTGACTTATGAGGACAGGATCGTTTGATCATTTCTTGTTTTGAATGTTCTTTTTGTGCTGACAGAGAAAGAGATGACTTGATGTCTGCACTAGTTTCCGTAAGGAGCAGCTTGGCAGATACGCAGCAAAGAGAAGCAAGTGCTTATGAACAGGTGAAACAAGTTTTGCAAATATCTGAGGAAGCCAATTTTGAAAAAACCAAGGCAAGTCTAATAAGATGCAAATAAAAGTGTCTTTCTTTTTTTTTTCTTTTTTCTTCTGAGTATTTATTTGGTTATTCTTCTATAACTAAACTTTGTTTTTCAAACACACAAAGTGAATTATCAATCTGTTAATGTTGACTTTTCTGAATTAAACAAATTTGCTATTTGGAGAATTCTTACTGCTCTGCAAATACTGTTGTTGTATCACTGTTCAGAGAATGTAGTACAGTATAATACTTTGAGAGACCTATATGCTTAATCTTTTTATTTGCTGATAATTTGCAATGCTGCAAAAATCTTAACACCCAGGCATTAGTTTGTATGTGTTCGTATATGACTAAAGACAAATGTTTTTCCTCAATAATTGGGAAGTTTTGAGAAAATCCAAATATACCAAAGACAATAATATATACATATTTAGTAGCATTTTTTTTTTTTTTTTTTTGAGACAGAGTCTTGCCCTGTCGCCCAGGCTGGAGTGCAATGGCACGATTTCGGCTCACAGCAACCTCTTCCTCCTGGGTTCAAGTGATTCTCCTGCCTCAGCCTCCCAAGTAGCTGGGATTACAGACACGGGCCATCATGCCCAGCTAATTTTTGTATTTTTAGCAGAGATGGTGTTTCACCATGTTAGCCAGGCTGGTCTGGAACTCATGACCTCAGGTGATCTGCCCATCTCGTCCTCCCAAAGTGCTGAGATTACAGGCGTGAGCCACTGCGCCCGGTCTTAGTAGCATCTTTGAGTCTGGACTTACTGTAAGGTAACTCAAACATACTTAATGAGAATAACAGTTTATACTTAGTGATCGGACGGTGTTATAGGCACTTTGAAGAATAGGAGGTTACTGTTGATTCATTACTGTATTTGGGGGCCACACCGTAATCCGTTAAAGTTGCATGTATTTTCCCTAGACACACTAGCATACAATTCAAGTTCTTAATGGCCACGTGTAGCAAATATTGGACAGTGCAGATATAGAGCATTTTCATTATCATGAAAAGTTTTGTTGGATAGCACTGGTCTAAACCATATATGAATCTCAGTGTTTTATTAAAATATTAGGGCTACATTACTGAGTATATGCCCAGAGGAATATAAATCATTCTGCTGCAAAGACACATGCATGTGAATTGTCATTGCAGCACCCTTCACAATAGCAAACGTAAACGATGGAATTGATGGAATCAACCGAAATTGACGGAATCAATCTAAATGTTCATCACTGACAGATTGTATAAAGAAAATGTGGAACATGGACACCATGGAATAGTATGCAGCCATAAAAAGAATGAGATCCGATCTTTTGCAGGAACATGCATGGAGCCGGAGACAGTTATCCTTAGCAAACTAACGCAGGAACAGAAAGCCAAATACTGCATATTCTTACGTATAAGTGGGAGCTAAATGATAAGAACTTATGAGCACAAAGTAGGAAACCACAGACAGTGGCATCTCCTTGAGGATATAGGGTGGGAGCAGGGAGAGGAGCAGAAGAGATCACTATTGGGTACTGGGCTTAATACCTGGGTGATAAAATAATCTGTATAACAAAACCCCGTGACATGAGTTTGCCTATGTAACAAACCTTCACATGTACCCCCGAACCTAAAATAAAAGTTAAAAAAAAATTAGGGCTATTCAATTCTGCATTAAGCCTCTTGTCAGCCATTGCTATGTCCATTTGTCTTTATCCAGTTCATCCATAACTCTTCCCGTTTGACCCTCATGCCTTTTGAAACTTAGGTTCAGTTATGACCAAACTCCCCAACATACTGTTTCCTCAGACTCTCCTGTTTCTTCATTTGTTGTGAGCTCTAGCTGTCCCTCAATGCCATGTTTCAAAACCTTCAGTGAAGGCCCTTGTGTCAGTCAAGTCGTCTCAGGTGGGTGTGATGGAGGAAACCGCAGTTACTTCACTCCTGACTGCCATTTCCAGGGCTTTGTTTTGGCACTTACTCTCAGGTCCTATTCCTCTTTGAAATTAAGCTACCGCTCTGTGTTAATCTGTTTTGCATTGCTATAAAGAAAGAGCAGAGATTGGTAATTTATAAAGAGAAGTAAGTGGTTTATTTTGGCTCATGTTGTGCAGGCTGCATACGAAGCATGGTGCCAACATATGCTTCTGGTAAGGCCTCAGGAAGATTTCACTCTGACAGCAGGCAGAGGGGAGCAAGCCTCACAAGGGAGCAGGACTGAGCGAGGAGGAGAGGGGCCAGGCCCTTTCTAACAATCAGACCTCAGGATAACTAATAGGGCACCAAGCCATTCATGAGGGATCCACCCCCATGACCCAAACACCTCCCACCAGGCCCCACCTCCAACACTGGAAGTCACATTTCAACATGAGAGATTTGGAGAGGACAGGTATCCAAACCATATCACACTCCTCTTTGAAATCAGTGTTGTCTCTCTCCTCCCTAATCAATAAAATCTCTCAATTGAGAAGGCTCTCTTTGACCCTTTCTATTTTATTTTTATTTTTATTATCATTTTTTTGAGACAGAGTTTCATTCTTGTTGCCCAGGCTGGAGTGCAATGGCGCAATCTCAGCTCACTGTAACCTCAGCTTCCTGGAATCAAGTGATTCTCCCACCTCAGCCTCCCAAGTAGCTGGGATTACAGGCATGCGCCACCATGCCTGGCTAATTTTGTTTTTTTAGTAGAGACAGGGTTTCACAATGTTGGCCAGGCTGGTCTCAAACTCCTGAGCTCAGGTGATGCACCCATCTTGGCCTCCCAAAGTGCTGGGATTACAGGCGTGAGCCACCGCGCCTGGCCCCTTTTTAAAAGTTTTAACATCTGATCCTTTTCCTCTTCATTCTATCTCTTTCATCATCCTTAAATGTTTGAATTTCCATGTTGCTGATACACAAAACACTAATACTCTTCAGCTTCCTTAACTCTACTATATCCCCTACTTCTACGCTAACATCCTGCATGAACTGAAATGCCCCTAAGATCTCTCTGAAACCACACTCTCTGACTAGGGCCTTTGCTCTTCTTTCCTCCCTATCAAAGTTAAATCTACTCCATGTCTTCATTTTCACCTCTAGTTCTTCAGCATTCTTTCTTTTTATCTCTCATTTTATCTGTTGTGTCCAGGCTGGTCTTCTTTTCTTCCCATTTAAACATAAATTTTACCATCTCAAATTGAACTCACACATTCACTCTCCCAAATCTGCTGCCCCTTCTGTATTCTCTTACTGGATGGCACTTTTACTCACTAACATGCTCTGATCAGAAAACTGGATTTCACCCTGTCCTTCACCCCTAACTTTTAACCAGTCACTAAGTACAGATCTGAGTTTCTAACGTTTTCTTGAATTCTTTCCCTCATTAACACTTTTCTTATGGAAGCTAAGTAATCTCTGGATTTATCTATTACACTTCTTCCTAGCTTGCCTCCCTCCTTCGTTCCACTCCCTACACTGCAGCCAGAAGCGATCTTTCTTAAAGACACATTTGATCATGTGACTCTGATTTAAAATTCTTCGGTGAATTTTCACTGCCTTCAAGACAGTCTCCACATTCTTTCCCATGCCCGTGGTCTGTCCTAATGTGGCTCCCTTTTGCCCTCCAAGGCTGCTGCTTTTTTCCTCCTCTCGCGCCCTGTCTCCCAGTACACTCAGCTATCGTCAAAGGCAGGAGGGCTTAGGGGGTGAACATGGGCTTACTAGAGTTAGCCAGACTTAGATTCAACTTCTGGCCCCACCATTCACTGGCTGTGTGACCTTGGACGAGTTACTTTAACTTCTCTGTGCCCCAGTTTTTCCTCATCTGTAAAATGGAGAAATATGTGACTCCTAGGATTGTGAATGAGGACTGCATTTTAAAATGTATATTGGTTATCTTATACAAACCCAGGCAGGCACAAAATATTTCTCAATAAATAGCGGTGGTGGTGATAACCCTGCTGATTATCCCATCCTCTCTCCAGCCTCTGAGTCTTTGTATGTGCCATGTGCATTCTTCTCTGCTCCACTGCCTGTATATTACTTTAGCCTTACTTATCTTAGCCTACATGGTACTCCCTCTAGGAAACCTCTTATCTCTTCTGTCTAGATTCGATGTACCCTTTATATGCCTTTATAGCAGGGTTTTTCAACCTTGGTGCTATTGACATTTTGGGCTATGTAACTCTTTGCTTTGGATGCTGTTCTGCACATTGTAGGATGTTTAGAAGCCTCTACCTACTCAATGCTAGTAGCTTACCCTCCTCCCCCAAGTTGTGACAACTGAAGATGTCTCCATACATTGCCAAATGTCCTCTGGTGGGCACATTTACCTCCATTTGAGAACCACTACTTATATAGCATTTATCAAAATGTATTATTATTGCTTGTTTGTCTGTATCCTTCATTAAACTTTTAAAAAAATATTTCAGCTTTTAGTTTTGAAAGAGGGGTACATGTGTAGGATTGTTACATATGGTGGACCCAGGTATTGAGCATAGTGCCCCATAGGTACTTTTCCAGCCCATGCCCCCCTCTCTCCTCCCCCAAGTTGTCTGCAGTGTCTGTTGCTGCCACGCTTATGTCCATGTGTACACAATGTTTAGCTCCCATTTATAAATGAGAGCATATGGTGTTTGGTTTCCTGTTACTGCATTACTTTGCTTAGGATTATGTCTTCCAGCTACATCTATGTTGCTGCAAAGCACATGATTTCATTCTTTTTTATGGATGTATACATTCCCTGGTGTATATGTACCACATTTTCTTTATCCAATCTGCCATTTATGGGCACCTAAGTTGATTCCATGTCTTTTTTTTTGAGATAGAATCTTGTTCTGTTGCCCAAGCTGGAGTGCAGTGGTGTGATCTTGGTTCACTGTAACCTCCGCCTCCAGATTCAAGTGATTCTTCTGTCTCAGCCTCCCGAGTAGCTGGGATTACAGGTGTGCACCATCACGCCTGGCTAATTTTTGTGTTTTTAGTAAAGACAGCGTTTTGCCATGTTGGCCAGGCTGGTATTGAACTCCTGACCTCAAGTGATCCACCCGCCTCCGCCTCCCAAAGTGCCGGGATTACTGGCGTGAGCCACCATGCCCGGCCTCTATGTCTTTGCTATTGTGAATAATGCAGTGATGAACATTTGAGTTGATGTATCTTTTTGGTATAATGATATATATCCCTTGGGGTATATACCCAGGAATGGGATTGCTGTGTTGAATGGTAGCTCTATATTAAGTTCTTTGAGAAATCTCTGTTAAACTTTAAAATTGTCACCAAGCCAAGGGCTTGCTTCCCTATGCACATAGAAGCCAATGCTACGGCACTGGCTTTTAAGAAAAGAAAAGGCTTTATTGCAAGTTGACTGGCAAGGAGGCAAGAGGCCACACTCAAATCTGTCTCCTCGTTCTGCGGCAAGATCAGGAAGATTGGTTTCAGAGGTGTTTCTAAGTAGCCCCAGGTGATACCAGTGCAGCCAGTCTGCCAGGGTGGTGGTAATCACAATGAGGAGGTTAAACCTCTCATGTACCCCAGAAATATATGCATCTACTATGTACTCAACAAAAATTAAAAATAAAGTAAAAACAATTAGGAGGTTAAAGCTTTTTCCCATTGCACATGCCTGGACTACATGACTTGCAATTTTGGCTCAGTGCTATCTGTAACAACTTAAACAATGGTTAATCAGTCTGCACTAGTCCCTTGGTTACAAAATCTCTGGTGTTACGGAATTTCTCCACCCTGATCACTGTTAAATCCGTAGCATCTTGCGTAGATCTCAACACATAATAAATAGGTACTCAGTAAATATCCACTGAGGAAGGAAATTGCAACTCAGTTCTCACTAGCACTCTACAGTGCCTTTATTCTTATCTTTCCAGCTTACCTACTTTGCCAGCAAAAGTACCCAGTGAAAATTAGGCCCAATCACACTTTTTTTTTTTTTTAATAGCTAGTTCAAGCCTCCCAAGCATTGCTAAAGGAAGTCATTTAACAAAGCCACTTAATAGCCGGGCGCAGTGGCTCACGCCTGTAATCTCAGCACTTTGGGAGGCTGAGGCAGGCAGATCACGAGGTCAAGAGATTGAGACCATCCTGGCCAATGTGGTGAGACCCCGTCTCTACTAAAAATACAAAAATTAACTGGGCATGGTGGTGTGCGCCTGTAGTCCCAGCTACTCGGGAGGCTGAGGCAGGAGAATTGCTTGAACCCGGGAGGCAGAGGTTGCAGTGAGCTGAGATCACGCCACTGCACTCCAGCCTGGCAGCAGAGTGAGACTCCATCTTAAAAAAAAAAAAAAGCCACTTAATGAGTTCCACTGAAGAGTAATACTAGTCACCTTCAGTGGTTGTAGGTACTGTTGAACAATTCTTTTCTCTGCAGTTGAAGACCTTATATACTCTAGTCAGGAACTCCACTTTCCTCACTTTTCCAACTCCACTGCTGGCACGTCACTTTCTTCGGATGACCTACTTCTCACTTTACTAAGATTAGGACCAACTGACAAGAGCCTCCTCAGCATCTTCTCATCCCTCGAATGTCTCCTCTCCTTATTTCTCCTTTCTTTTCTGGCCCTCTTATTTCCCAAGATGAACATCTTTCTCCCCGTTTTTGATGTCTCCCACTTCTATGTCATCACATTTTTCTTGCATCCTTTATCCTTTTCTCTCCACTGTTTTTCCCCCTCATCCTGCCCACAGCCTTTGTTTAAGTAAACAAAAAGCAGCTTTCCTGTGATCATCTTTCACTTCGTTTATTACCGTCCATTCCTCATTTCACTGGCAGACATCTCACAACAGTTGTCCACCCTGGTAGCTTTCCTTTCACTTCTGAGTGCATCGCAGCCAGGCTTTGAACAAACTGTAGCCTGATTTTATGTTACTGAAGTGCTCGCTTCATGATCACTGGTCACTTCCTGATTACCAAACCCAGTGACCTCATCTCAATCCTCATTGGACTTAAACTCTATAGATTTGGAACCCTGTTAACTGGCCTATCATAACATACCATCTCTTTCCCTTGATTTAGCTGATATGTTACTCTCATGGGTCCACATTGTACCATTCTTGTCTACTCTTAAGTCTCTTTTAACTTGTTTCTTGGTTTCCACAAGTCTTAAGTGTGGACGTTCCTCAGAGTTAGTTCCCAGCCCTCCTCCCATGTTGCCTTGACTTCCTGGGATTCATTTCTCCTCACGTGGCCAAATATTACCAGTGAATACACCCACATTATGCCTTTAGCTTTAACTGCTCTCCTGAGCCCCAGCCCTACGTGTTTTGCTGCTACTAGATCTTTTTTTATGGATGATACACTGCTGGCGTCTGAAACTCTACACAACCAAACCGTTCATTGGCTCCGCCTTCCCATCTACCACTCCTTTTCTTTCTACCATTTTCTCTATGATCGTCTTCAAACAAAGGCATCACCATCTTCACCGCAGTCCTGGCTTGCATTCTTTAAAACATCTCGGTTCTTCCCTATGCTTGCTCTTGACATTCCATCAGTTCCCAAGGTCTTTCTCTCTCTCTTCAGAGTCAAATTTCTATTTAACTATGCCTACCTTTTCATTCTTATACCACTGCCCTGGTTCAAGGCTTCACATCTTCACATGCTTTTTTTTTTTTTTTTTTTTTCAGAGACAGGGCCTCACTCTGTCACCCAGGCTCAGTGGTGCGGTCATATCTCACTACAGCCTTGCACTCCTGAGCTCAGCTGATTCTCCCTCCTTAGCCCCGCAAAGTGCTGGGATTACAGGTGTGAGCCACCGTGTCCAGTGGTATACTTCACGTATTCTTATACCAAGTATGCAGACAATTACAATAGCTTTCTAATTGGTTTCCCTCAAATTTCATCTAATTCCAGCATACTTTTCACAGTGCTCTCATAACATTTATAGTTCCTGAGTTATAAATCTCCCTGTTTAGGTAGCTCCCCTCTTGCAGTAGAATAAAAGACAAATCTGGCCCCATTCTAACTTTGCTAGTCTTCTCTTTCACTCTACTCTTTCATGTCACCTTCACTGTTTCCAGAACATGACCTGCAGTTGGCCATTTTCATTGATTTGCACATGCTGTATTTTTCTGCCTTGTAATAATCTATGAAGTATCTGTTCAATCTATGAGGCTCAACTCAAGTGGCAGTCTTCCTGAAGTTTTCCCCAGCCCCTTCTTGTTTGAATTAACTTCTTTTTCCTCTGTATTCCTGTTGATGTGGTGTATAATTTTGGTAGTTGTTTACACAGTTTTCTCCACCAGAAGACCTTGAAATCAGGTCTGTGACATCTATCATTGTATTTCACACATGACCATTTACGTCTTAATTAACAATAAATGTTTGTTCAGTGGAAGTCAATTATTATTAATGTGAAATTTGTAATTAATTTTTTAAAAAATTTAATAACTGAGAGCAAGCAACACTATTGTTCATTAGGAATCTATAGCATTTTCAGTAAATTAGTAATAATGAATGCAAGGACAAAATGTATTGCAAGTCTAGTACTTTTTATCTAGAAGGTATGTTGAAACACACTAGAATTTTTGCTTTCTAAGTGCATTAAAAAGCCAGGTGGTATACATATTTTAATTTAAAACCCAACTACTTATATTACTGAGTGATGAAATGGTTACTTGGTTTAGTTCCTTGACGTTTGTTGCCATCTAGTGTGGCATTTGGGTATCACATGCTAAATAGAAGGAATTATATATTTACATTCTTTGTGGCAGTGAAAATGCCTGAGGATTTTATAAGAAAATAAATATATAACTTGAGAAGTATATAATGCCATGCAAACATTCTTGTGTGGAACTACCTTGGATAAACTCCCTACTCTCACCACTTTCTAGGTCTCTGATTTGGGCAAGTTACTGAATGTCTCAAAGTACCAGTTTCTTCAATTGAGTGATAAGAACCAATTAAAATGTATTGAGAGGGTTAAATAATCCATGTATACCACTTAGCAAAGTATCTGGCACCTAGTAGGTGCTCAATAAATATTTTTGTTTGAAAATGGAAGTTATTTCAATTGGTGATAATTTTAAAAGAGGAAAAGAATTCACCTGGGACTAAATGGAGAGAAAAAGTAGAGGCTTGTGCAGTCACACCTTGATAAAAAGCTACACGAAGCAGATGAAAAGGTTAACCAGGCCTTAGGCCTGCCTGCTTGTGTTGGAAGGGAAATTGTTGAGAGGTATGTGTAAAGGCCTGAAGGCACAGGCTGTGGCATGAAGTTACCATAAGCATATCTGTAATGATATAACCCTCTAAGGAAAAAAAAAATTTTCTTTTTTACTCATAACAACTTGAACAAAGTATGTATTTCCAATTTGCTAAGACCTATCCTGCCATATATCTTTGTGGGTAAGTGGTGTGAACTTTTTAAAAAAGTTAATTATTATGTATACATAATAATTGTACATATTTATGGGTTACATGTGATATTCTGAAGATTAGTTTTTAAAACAGCAGCCTGGTAGGTTGAACAAATATTTACAAAGACTTTTTCTCCCTTTTCAAATATCCAAATTATTCTGTTTCTTGGATTACAGGGAGTCAGAAAGGCAGGAATTAGAAACCTGGATTAAAAATAAAATCAGAAAAGCATTGACTATTTGGTTATAGTCACAAGGATAGAAAATAACGCTTCTTGATTTGCACATTATCTGTCCCAAAAGAAGTGTAAATATCTTGAAAAATGGTACATAGGGATAGACTGATAAATTTCTGGTTAGCAAGGGTTTATAAATTAAAATCAATAGTTTGCATTATTCATAAGTTAGATGTTTGAAATGTGTTAATCTTTTTAATTTTGTGGGCTTTATTCATAAAAATAAAAATGTTTGTAAGCTTTAAAGTTTATGTTCAAAGGTGTGAGCTGTATATTTTTCATAAGATCTTAATTCCTTAGTTATGAATTATTCTGTCACAAAGATTTCTTGAAAACTAACCCTAGCAGTTGGGAAGGACTTTTATATGATCTACAATAGGTTTCCTGTTTTAAAATTTTAGTTGACTAGATATAAATTTTGTTTTCGAAAATATTTTGACTGCCTAAGATAGTAGTGCCTACCCTTTGGCTTAATAAAACCAGGACTGGGAATATCAAGTCCAATAAACTGTGTTTGAAAAAAAGTGTTAATATGTCAACACAGAATGACCACAGCTAAAGAAATTTCCCAGAAAAGAAAAGGTACCTTCAGGAATGAGTCTGCTGGGTGGGGGGAATGTATAATTCCCCAACTTCTCAAGACCTACAGCCATTTCCACCAAGGAAAGGGCCGTGTTCAGGGAAAGGGAGAGAAGCCAGGACTTGGGAACTACTGAGAGAAATAACAGCCGCAGGCCCCAAATTAACTTTGTCACCTATAAAGATCTATCATTTAATGGTAATTGCCTGTTTATAGCATTCAGTTACTATAAAATTATAATTTATAATTTTATAGAAATTAAAATTATAATTTATAATTTTATAGAAATTAAAATTATAATTATAATTTTATAGAAATTAAAATTATAATTATAATTTTATAGAAATTAAAATTATAATTTATAATTTTATAGAAATTTATAATTTTATAGAAGTTAAAATTATAATTTATAATTTTGTAGAAATTAAAATTATAATTATAATTTTGTAGAAATTAAAATTATAATTTATAATTTTGTAGAAATTAAAATTATAATTTATAATTTTGTAGAAATTAAAATTATAATCATTTGATGATAGTTGATTGTTTACTGACCTAGCCTTTGAGAAGTCAGTTATTATGTCTTTACTGAATGGTTATAGGGGTACTCAATCGACAGGGATTCTGAAACTAGGAGAAGAAACTCTAGAATTAAGAGAGAGCTTTAATGGAGATAGTGTATAAATAATTGTTTACTAGACCCAAATCTTTTAGTATGTGCGGTCCAGTGTGAGAGAGTTATCTTTAGAAAGAATAAATCATTTTTCTGATTCCAAGTGTTACTACGCTTTTCTGTTTTCTTCACTGTGACCGGACATATACGTTAAAATCAAAGCAAATAAAAGTAAAAGCTATTTTTGTTTGTTTGTTTGTTTTGTTTGTTTGTTTTTGAGATGGAGTCTCGCTCTGTCGCCCAGGCTGTAGTGCAGTGGTGCGATCTCAGCTCACTGCAAGCTCCGCCTCCCGGGTTCACGCCATTCTCCTGCCTCAGCCTCCTGAGTAGCTGGGACTACAGGTGCCCGCCGCCACACCCGGCTAATTTTTTGTGTTTTTAGTAGAGACAGAGTTTCACCGTGTTAGCCAGGATGGTCTCGATCTCCTGACCTCGTGATCCGCCTGCCTCAGCCTCCCAAAGTGCTGGGATTAAAGACATGAGCCACTGTGCCCGGCCTTAGAAGCTATTTGATAATATGGAATTGTTGGTTACACGCTAAGAGACATCAGTAACCAGTTTTTTGTTTGTTTGTTTGTTTTGTGTGTTTTTTGGGGACGGAGTCACACTCTGTTGCCCAGGCTGGAGTGCAGTGGCACCATCTTGGCTCACTGCAACCTCCGCCTCCTGGGTTTAAGCGATTCTCCTGCCTCAGCCTCCCTAGTAGCTGGGATTACAGGCACGCACCACCTGGCTCAGCTAATTTTCATATTTTAGTAGGACGGGGTTTCACCATGTTGGCCTGGCTGGTCTCAACCTCCTGACCTCAAGCAATCCACCCGCCTCAGCCTTCCAAAGTGCTGGGATTACAGGCGTGAGCCACCACGCCCAGCCAATAACCAGTTTTTAACCTAATATTTTTATTCAGTGTTTTGTTGCCCATTACTCATCATCAGCCATTGGTGGTGGCCATTCCTAATAGAGAGAAGACCATCCACAAAACCAAGGCCTCAGCAGTGGTTTTGTTTACATGATTTTACAGCTTCTCACTTTGTGCTTTTCACTGTATCATCCTATCTTGGCATTACACCTCTTATCCTGCCAGGATTATTTACTGTTGCTTGTTCTTTAGTTGACTGAGTTCTTTGAATTGATTCTGTAGGTGCCTTTCATGGTAGCCTGGTTTTAGATCTTCAGTCTCTTCTGCTGTTCCTATACTTAATGATGATGACTCCTGAGTTTTTGTTCAGTTGAAAACTTTCTGATTGGATATATTGGTTTATATTAAGTAAGCGTTTTGTCTATTCATACCAGTAGCATTCATGATATCAGGGAGAGTTATGAACATTTACTCAATTCATGTGAAATATTTTTCACAAGAGCAATTACATTTTGAATCACAAAAGTAACTCATTCATATTTCAAGCTCCAAGGGCTTAAATTATAGAAAAAGTATGCCTTTTCATTTATTTTAATATCTAATTTAAAATTTCCTTTTCCAGGCATTCTCGGCTGGAATTTTGACTTGGGACTAATTCCCTAGAAGAATCACTTTTTACTCATTGTATTTGTTTATTAGTTAATCTGAGACAACTGAATTTTACCTTTATATTTTATGCCTGGGAGCATAGAAACTTTTCAGAAGAGACCAAAAGAAACTGGAGTTTAATGCTTTCCAGATGAAGAGAGGAAAATTCACATATCCTAGATATTTATTGTCTGTATTTATTATAGCTTTCACCAGAGGGAAGCATAACTATGCATAAAACTTACAGTGCTTACTAAGGCCATTTCCATCTCCATTAAAATCAAATGTGACTATGAAATTTCTAATCATACAGCATGTAAGTCACATGAGACCTGGGGTTCTTTCTACCATTTCAGGGGAAAAGAGAGGTTGTGTGAGGTGGATATTGTACATAAGGGCCACTGGAATAAGACTATAAGATACTATAGTACCTTACTTTTATTAGGATTTTTAAAAATTGGGATTTTACTATGCAATCTGTGTATGTAACTAAATTACATTTGTACCCCATATATTTATACAAAAAAAGACCTCCCCAAATTGGGATTTTTGAAGTCATATTTCATTATTGGGTGTTATAAATAAAGATATTGTAAAAGTGGCCAAAATGAAGTTAGAGATTTTTTATTTCTGGAAATGCAGAGTGGGAAATTTACAGTAAAGGACAATCATGAACTTTACCAGAAGTGGAAGATCCTTATAAAACTAAGTAGTGAATACTGTCTTGAGTCTTTCCATTTAACTTACGATTATTACATAATTTTTACTTCAGTTGTATGTTTAAGGGGAGTGAACTAAATTTTCTCTTAGTTATATTTAAGGAAACTTGATTATTATATAGTATTAAACAAAAGATGCCTGTGTGTAATGATATATTCAACATTTCATTTTAGTATTTTGATCTATCATTTGAAGTATTCCAATAATTTTTATCCATGAGCAAATAAGAAATCAGTTAAATTGGATACTTACGTATTTCGTGTAGTATAAACATGATATATAATTGAAAATATTAGAACACTTGGTGTTTCTGGTTCCCTTTTTTAAAATTCTGACTCATCTGTGGCCGTCATCAAGGTTCATTACCTGAATTTTGTCATTGATTAATTAATATGGCTTTAATCATGAAAATTGAAATATGTCAATAAATGTAACATTTGGATACTCTTTTAGGTCAATAAGTGGTATTGATAAACAATAAAAAATTATTCTAATGGGCTTTATAGTGAGTTTTTGCTATTTTAAATATACTTAAAGCTTAATTATGTCATTTTACCTATATTTTTTCCAAATTCTAACCTCCTCTTTCAATCTGTTCTATCCTGGCAGGCTTTAATCCAGTGTGACCAGTTGAGGAAGGAGCTGGAGAGGCAGGCGGAGCGACTTGAAAAAGAACTTGCATCTCAGCAAGAGAAAAGGGCCATTGAGAAAGACATGATGAAAAAGGAAATAACGAAAGAAAGGGAGTACATGGGATCAAAGGTACTTAAGGACTCTGCTGTTATCCACATTGCAGAAGAAAGGTTTTTTATGATGCCATTGATGATTCCATAGGCTGGAGTTCTTGAATGAACTTTAAATTTTAAAATCGTTATTATATAAGTAGTTAAATTTCGTATAATTTAGAATTCATAAAAATGTTTTATCTTTTCATATATTTCTCAATAGTTTATGCTGATCTTTTCAAATAAAATAATCAGTTAGATTCCATACAATGAAATTACAAAATTTACTTTAAATCCTGCCATTCTGTTGGATTCCCTCTCTCGTGTTTCCCAGAGTCGTGCTATGAAGATACCCAGATTTTATTTCAACCTTGGCTAAATCAAGGAGAGATGACTTCCCCTGCATTATCTCCTACCCCTAAATTAAATATGCAGAAGATGAAACACTTGTAAGGAACTGAGTAACCAAGAAAAAGTGATTATGCACTCTGTATGAAATCAGTTCTGACAAATTACATGATGAATAATGACGGTAACCAGATGAAGGGAGAGATTTAAGGCAAAAGGAACAGATAACATGAAACAAGCAGTGTTTGAAAAGGAGTTCACAAACTAGAATACAGAGTTGAGTGGGACCTAGCTTTAAAATTGCTAACTAGACTCGAATTGAGCAAGTTGTGGTCCATCAAGTAACCAAAACAACTGTGTTACATGTTTGTTTTTAAAAGTGGACTCACAGCTTGTACTCTAAATGCTATGTTGTTATCAGATTCAATGTGTGATAATTAACTTATTCAGTAAGTATATACTGAGTATGTGCTGTGTGCAAAGCAATGTGGAGGCCTAAAGATATGTAAAGAGAAAAATCACAACTTCTGCCCTATGAGTTTTAAGTCTTAATAAGAGTAAACTCAGGCATTTCCTGTAAATGTCCTTGTCTTCTTATCCATTTTTAAAAATTGTGTCTGTCAAAACCCTACTACCTACCTTCTCTGCCCTGGATTGGTGATCTCTGCTGGTAAAAATCACACAGCCTTGCAGATGACATGGCTGTAGACTCCAGGTCTTCGGTGTCCACGGTCCTTTCAGTGCTTTCTAGCAGTCCTCTTTTGCCTTCCTCTCTCTTATTCATTCCACACTCAACAGATATTAACCAGAGGGGCTGGGAATGTTGTAGTCACAGGAACGATGCAGTTTCCTCATGAAGCTTACAAACTCGTAGGAGAAGTAGATGTTACACAAATGTTTTCATAAGTGAGTTTTCGATCATCATTGTGATAAAGCCATAAGGTTCGGTTTAGGATATCGTGGGAATGTGTAACAGGAATCTGACCTTGTCTAGGCAGTCACGAAAGACTTTCCTGAGTAAGAGATGTTGAAAATGAGACCTGAAAGCATTGATGAATGGACAGGTGAAGAGGGGAAGAGGGTTTCAGGCCCAGGAATATAACACACCCAAGACTCTGGACCTGGAAAGCATCGCACTTTCTAGGAATTTGGAGAAGGCCCTGATGGGTGGAGCATAGAGAGAGAGGAGCAGAGTAGTGGGAATGAGTTTGGAGAATTATGTTGGGATGGAATCATGAATGGCTTTAAAATCCATATGAAGGATTTTCAATTTTGTCCAAAAAGGGATGGAAAGCCATTGAATGGCTTTGAATTTGTCAGTGTCACGATGCCATTTATATTTGAGAAAAATCATTTTGTCAGTGGATTGGAAGGAGAAGCAGAATAGATGCCTGGAGATCAGCTGGAGGTCATTATCGTAGTCCAGGTCTGGAGGTGACTCACAGTCCAGGTCTGGAGGTGATTATCATAATCCCCCTCTGGAGGTGATTATCATAATCCAGCTCTGGAGGTGATTTTCGCAGTCCAGGTCTGGAGGTGATTATCACGGTCCCGGTCTGGAGGTGATTATTGCTGTCCAGGTCTGCAGGTGATTATTGCGGTCTCAGTCTGGAGGTGATTATCACAGACCCGGTCTGGAGGTGATTATCGCGGTCCCGGTCTGGAGGTGATTATCGCAGTCCAGGTCTGGAGGTGATTTTCGCGGTCCAGGTCTGGAGGTGATTTTCGCGGTCCAGGTCTGGAGGTGATTATTGTGGTCCGGGTCTGGAGGTGATTATCGTGGTCCCGGTCTGGAGGTGGTTATCGTAGTCCAGGTCTGGAGGTGATTATCGTGGTCCCGGTCTGGAGGTGGTTATCGTAGTCCAGGTCTGGAGGTGATTATCGTAGTCCAGGTCTGGAGGTGATTATCGTAGTCCAGGTGGGAAGTGATGGTATCTTAAATGCATTTCTTTAAAGACTGTTTCAAATCACTTGTTCTTCTCAAATTCTCTATAATACCATTTTTCCTCTTATTCTCAGCAGAGAGCCTTACTTAACTAACAAAGAAAATGGAAGCCGTTGGGTGATGACCACCTCAACTATTTCTCTTGTCCATGCCTTAAAATAAATTTTCACCTGTATTCCAACCCAGTCTGAATGGGAAAGGTGTCTTCCTAATCCCTTCCCCTTCCCATGGACCTCGTCTCCTTTCACCCCCTCAAGGAACTCATTCCATTTGTTTGTTCCACTTTTCTGAATCAATCTTTCCTTCACTACAGTCTCTTTCTTATCCTCAGGAAAATATTTTCAGATGTCTCTTACTGTTGAAAGGAACAATCTTTCTTCTAATCTGTGGTTCTTAATTTTTGGCACGCAAGAAGTTCTAAAAATCTGATTGTCCAAACAGTACCCCACACCCATTACATCAAAATGTCTGAGAGAAGCATCCAGGTGTCAGTGTGTTTGAAACTCACCTAGGTGATTCCAATGTGCAGCCAAGGTTGGAAACCACGTCAGTAATTCCATCTCCCTCTTTGACTCTTTCTCTTAATAGTCGAGTTTCTTGAAAGATTTGTCCATACATGTTGTCTTTATTTTGTCACCTCTCACTTACTCTTCAGCCCACTGCATTTCAACTTCCATGCCACAGCCAGTGAAATTACCATTGCTATGTTCACTGAAGATCTGTTTACACTATATTTACTGATTTTTTTTCAGTCTTATTCTCCTTAAAAGATTCTCTATGATTTCTTTGAATTCATATTCTTGATTTGGGAGAATGATGATGTGTGCTTTTTACATTACTCTGAGTTTAAAGTGCCTTTGAGACAATAAAGGAGACACATCCAGAAAGCAGCTTGATAGGAGGTTCTGGAGTTTAGCAGGGAGCTAAAGATTTAGGTGTCTTTAGCAGTACTATAGCTTGAATTCCATGTATATATAGCCTTAGGACCTAAAGCTTCAAGACTAAAGCTATTTGATTTCTAGATCCTTAACTGTATACTGAGCTCCCAAACCAGCTTTACTTTCCACCTCCTATCCCAGTGGATCCACTATTTATCCAGTTATCCAGCACAGAAATCTTGTCACCCTTTTCTCCCCCGTCTTTCTCACCCCACACATCTCATCATCACCAGGCTCTAAGACTTAAGCCCCTGAGCATTTACATTGCCTTGTCTCTCTATCCTACTGCTACCATATCTCATCCTTGGATGGTTCCTATAGCCCCTGTGGTGTCCTTGCCTCCAGTCTCACCTCCTTCCTATCTGTTCTCCAAACTGCAGCTGGGATGATCTTTCTCAATATGTCAGTCTCTTGCTTTAAAACTCCTTTCACGTCTCCCTGCAACCTTGAATAAAATTTAGGATCCTTTATCATAGCATGAAGACTCTACAATATTGTTCCTCTCTTTGGCTCTCCGGTCTTATGTTCCTTCATTTTTCTTCTTTGCACCCTCACCACACTGACCTACTTGTGCTTCCCCAAGCATGTACATATGCCTCTCTTCCATACTGTTTTTTCCAGTGCAGGATATTGCATGTGCTTTGCCCTCTGCCTAGAGGAGTCTTCCTCTGCCCTCTTTAACTGATTCTTCAGAGTTGTTTGTTTGTTTGTTTGTTTGTATTTGAGACAGGGTCTCACTCTGTCACCCAGGCTGGAGCTCAGTGGGGTGTTCACAGCTCACTTAGCCTCGACCACTTGAGCTCAGGTAATCCTCCCACCTCAGCTTCCCAGGTAGCTGGGACTAGAGAGGTGTGCCACCATGCCTGGCTAATTGTGTTTTTTATAGAGACAGGTTTTTGCCATGTTGCCCAGGCTGATCGCGAACTCCTGGGGTCAAGCAATGTACCCTCCTTGGCCACTCAACGTGCTAGGATTACAGGCGTGAGCCACTGCGCGTGGCCCAGAACTTTTCTTGGTACCACCTCGTCTCCGCGCCTCCCATAGCTGAATTGGGACCGTCTCCTGTGGGCTCCCATAGCTCACTTCATTACAAATTCATGTCGAATAGCTTGCCTCCCCTAGTTCAGTGAGTCCCTTGCATGTAACATCCTCAATGCCTGGCACATTCCTCTCATGTAAAATGTGCTCAGTATATATTAGATGAATGAAGGAATGAATTACAAGGAAAAGAAAAAAGTCCCTATGCCATTGGGAAGTTATGGCTAAAATGCTGAGAGTTCAGAGGATCAGAACTGATTGTCTGCAAGAGATCATGGAAGGCTTTGGGGAAAAAATGGCATTTTCGTTGAGCTTCCAAGAATAGATGGGGTTTAGAAACGCAGAGTATGGGGGAAGGAACGCCACCTGTAACCAATATGAATAAGACATGGAAGGGAGATGAAGTTGCGAATTGAGTGTTGTGTGAGAGAGAATGGTATCAATAGCAAACACCAGCTATTGTTCACGCCTAGGAAATTTGTATTTTTTGGTTGTTTGCTGGAAACCATTTGCCTTGCTGAGTAGTTCTACTGTGTAGAAGTATGTTGATGAGAATTCCTGATAAGAAAGGAAAAACGAAGGCTGAAGTGTGCCTGGCAGTATTCCAGGTGCCTTCATATGTAACAGAACCTCTCTTTTACTGACAGTTGTTTCATGAATAAAGGTGGTGACAGAAATGCAGCACATTTTTTATGTATCATTTATTTATTTATTTATTTTTAACTTTTAGATTCAAGGGAGTACATGTGCAGGTTTTTTACTTGTGTATATCGCATGATGCTGAGGTTTGGTTTACAAATTATCTTGTCACCCCCTACATAAGCATAGTACCCAATAGTTAGTTTTTCAACCCCTACCCCACTCCCTCCCTCTCCTCTCTAGTCATCCCCAGTTTCTGTTGTTGCTATCTTTATATCCGTGAGTACCTAATACTTAGCTCCCACTTGTGAGTGAGAACATGCAGTATTGGATTTTCTGTTCCTGCGTTAATTCACTTAGGACTACGGCCTCCACTTGCGTCCATGTTCCTGCCAAAGACCTGATTCCATTCTTTTTTATGGCTGCATAGTATTCAGTGGTGTATATGTACCACATTTTCTTTATCCAGTCCATTCTTGATGGGCACCTAGGTTGATTCCATGTCTTTGCTATTGTGAATGGTGCTACAATGAACATGTAAGTACATGTGTCTTTTTGGTAAGACAATTTGTTTTCTGTTGAATATATATCCAGTAATGGGATTTCTGGTAGAATGGTAGGTTCTAAGTTATTTGAGAAATTTCCAAACTGCTTTCCACTGTGGCTGAACTAATGTACATTCCACCAACAGAGCAGAAGTGTCCTTTTCTCTGCATGGTCTGTTGTTTTTTGAGTTTTGAATAACAGCCATTCTGACTGGTGTGAAATGGGATCTCATTGTGGTTTTGATTTGCATTTCTATGATGATTAGTGTTTTAGTCTGTTCTCGCACTGCTATAAAGAAATACCTGAAACTGGGTGATTTATAAAGAAAAGAGCTTTAATTGGCTCATGGTTCTGCAGGCTGAACGGGAAGAATGGCTGGGGAGGCCTCAGGAAACTTTCAGTCATGGTGGAAGGGAAGCAGGCATGTCTTCTGTGGTTGGAGCAGGAGGAAGAGAGAGCAGGGGGAAGCGCTACACACTTTTAAACAGCCAGATCTTGTAAGAACTCGCTATCATGAGAACAGCCAGGGGGAAACTGCCCCGACGATCCAATCACCTCCCACCAGGCCCCCCTCCAACATCGGGGATTACAGTGTGATGTGAGAGTTGGGCGGGGGCAGAAGTCCAAACCATATCATTCATGAGTGATCTTGAGCACTTTTTCATGTTTGTTGGCCATTTGTATGTATTCTTTTGAGAAGTGTCTGTTCATGTCTTTTGTTCATTTTTTAATGGGGTTGTTTTCTGCTTGTTCAATTGTTTACTTTCTTTATAGATTCTGGATATTAGGCCTTTGTCTGATACATAATTTGTGGGTACTTTCTCCCATTCTGTAGGTTGTCTGTTTACTCTGTTGATAGTTTCTTTTGCTGTGCAGAAGCTCTTTGGTGTAATTAGGTCCCACTTGTCAATTGGTGGGTTTTGTTGCAATTGCTTTTGAGAACTTAGTCATAAATTCTTTCCCAAGGCCCATGTAGGAAACACCCGGAATGGTGTTTCCTAGGTTTTCAGCTAGGATTTTTATAGTTTGATATCTTACATTTAAATCTTCAATTCATCTAGGGTCAATTTTTGTATATGGTAAAGGGTAAAAGCCCAGTTTCATTCTTCTGCATATGGCTAGCCAGCTATCCTAGCACCATTTATTGAATAGGGAATCCTTTCCCCATTGCACATTTTTGTCAAGTTTGTCAAAGATCAGATGGCTGTATGTGTGTGGCTTTATTTCTGGATCTCTATTCGATACAATACATATCTGAGCTAGAGTCATTGAAGTTGATTTTGTCCCTAGTAAGCCCTGGCTGACATTTGATCTCAAGATCCTGCTCTAAATAAAGATGTATGAATAAAGAGCTCACAGTGGTCCTAGCACTGAGGTCCCAGCTCTCACCAGGAAATGGCAGAAAGTGGTTTTGGAGTAAAAGGATTTAGAGTTGAATCCAGCTTGACCTTTCTGTGACCTTGAACAATTCACTTAACCTCTCTAAGTTTCAGAGGAGTAAATAAAGTTAATAATACATCAAGAATTGATAGGATTAAGTGAGATAATGTTTAGAAAATATCTAATATAATGTCTGACTTACCGTGGGCATTTAATAAATTTTAGCTTGTGGCTGTTGTTTTAGAGAAAGAGAGACGGAGCCTTCTTGGATAGATTTCTTGGCCCTTCATGTTAGTAAAAGCAGACAGACTTTTATATAAAGCCCAGCTTTACCTTTTACTTATTAGTTTGAATGAACTTGGGCAAGTTACTTAGTTTTCTGAATCTCATTTTTTCAAATGAAAATTAATTCCATATAATTCCTTCTCTAGGGGATTTAATTATTATTAGAGACAGGGTCTCACTGTGTCACATAGGCTGGAGTGCAGTGGTGTGATCATAGCTCATCGTATCCTCAAACTACTTGGCTCAAGCAATCCCCCTGCCTCAGCCTCCTAAGTAGCTAGGACTACAGGCGTGTGCCACCTTGCCTGGCTAACTAAAAAAAAAAATTGTAGAATTGGGGTCTCATTATGTTGCCCAGGCTGGTCTTGAACTCCTGGCAGTCCTCCTGCCTCAGCCTCCAAAAGCAGTAGGATTCCAAGCATGAGCCACAGTGCCCGGCCTTTCTAAGGGGATTTAAAGAGAGAATGCATATCACACTGCCTGGCCCAAGAACATAATGACTGACCAGTTAATCATAACATTGTAAGTGCTAGGCAGTTAAAGTTAGTGCTAGAACAAGAATCTCTGCTTTCCTAACTGTAGGAATACTTGTGAAACGTATAGATTTTCTTTCTTTCTATGTTTTTTTTATTCCTCCCTTACTTTTCTTTTTTTTTTTTTTAAATTCCATTTGTGTGGGAAGCTGTCGGAGAACAGATGCCTTCTACCTAGACAGGTTTGAATCATTCCCCATCAACAGTTCTTGCTGTGAGTTTGTGTGTTATCTTCAATAATGGTCCTTGGTGTTGCACTGAGCACTCAGCTTTGTTACTTCATTCAGTCATTGATCATTTATTTATTGAGCACCCCCTGAGGTCCACACGTTTTCTCAATTGCTTTCCTTGACAGTATCCATTGTTAAAATCCTTAATTCTTGTATCTCTTGCATAGGGAGTACAGCTTCATACCAGGTTCAATACACTAGGGACTGCTCTGCAGAAATTTCTATCAGCCTCTCCCAACCTGGGTGTCCTTGTCTCTTCCTTGCCCCTGTCAAAGTTTAAAGGACTCACCTGATGTCAACGTCCTGGACATCCAGCAGTGTTGCAGCTGTGTCTGTGTTACTTCTGGCTCTGCAACAGATGTGGATGGAGAAGCTCCTGCCGTGTAATGTTGACTTCCAGATGGTGGGTGGGGAGGAAAAGAAGGTGTGACAACAGGAGGGGAGACCTCAGAAAGTGGGGTGGGCGGCAGGAGGGAGCAGACAGCTAGTGGGCAGAGGACCTCAGAAAGTGGGGTGGGCGGCAGGAGGGAGCAGACAGCTAGTGGGCAGAGGACCTCAGAAAGTGGGGTGGGCGGCAGGAGGGAGCAGACAGCTAGTGGGCAGAGGAAGGGAATGATGGGTGGCAGAGGGAGGAATCCTAAGGAAGGGGAGAGATTTGTGACATGCCTTAGAAGAGAAATGGACTAGAATTTATAATTAGCAAAATAAATGTCGGTATATTTACTTCAAAAACCATACAATGTTGTTTACCATCAGTTATGTATGTCCACATAAATAAGTAAAATATGATTTTTAGTAGCTGGTAATTAAAGTTTGTTCCTGTCATATGGTTCCAGAAAAGCTATAATTACACATTCATAATATATATGCTCATGAACTCGAAATTTTAAATTGAAATGAAATTGATATTTTTGATGTTATATTTAACTTCTTTTCAACCTTAGTTTTATATTGTAATGTGCCCAAGAATATTTTTTAGTTTGTTATTAGTAAAGCTAATTGTATGTGAAAATTAGATTTGTAGACAATCCTTTGATGATAGGGATGTGTAAAAAACCATAAGTCAAATATGAAATTCTCCACTACCTTCAGAAAGTTAATTAATATATCTGCCTAAATTATTTTCATAGGGTCAACTTTAACTAGTTCTGTAGTTCGAAGGCAGACACCTATCTTCGTTTTATTGATGTCAGGTTCTTAATTTACTAAAACTTTGGTTCAATGTTGATTTTTATCATAGAATTTTAGTAATTGATTTAAGTTATAAAACTGAATTCACACCCATGTCAGCATACAATGGTAAGTTTCAAGCATCATTATTTAAAATGTGTCACCAGTTCTTGTTTTAACAGATAAAAATTGATAGGTATTCCTATATGTTCTGCTGCTTCTACATTTTAAAAACTGCCAGTACAGTATGACATTAAGAGCCTAGAAGAGTGACTTCCTGGAAAAGAACAAAACATAATTGGAAACCAGAAACTATAAAGGATAAATCTAAGATCTAGAAAGCATTTCTAATCTTGAGAAGAAAAACTGAGAACCTAATACCCATAGAGTCCATTGGAAAGCCATTTATTCTAAGTATTTACTCATTCATCAAATATTTGGTACCTCTTGAGGAACTTCTACTCTAATGAGGAAACAGACAACTAAAAACAGTGGGATGAGTACTGTGGTTGAGGTACACAGAGGTTGTGGTGTGATGGAGGTATATATACTGAGATTGTAGGAGCACATGCCATAGTGATATTCAAAATATTAATCTTTACAGTGTGGGAAACAGTGAGAGTGGACACAGGCTACAAACAACAGGCATGACTGTCTCAGTGCACACAAGCTGAATATCAACCCTGAACGTGGGAAGGGTCACCTATTTTGTGCTGGGAACTGGAGTCAAGGAAGACTTCCTAGAGGAGAGGAGATAATGGCTGAGCTGAAACCTACATGAGAAATGAGGGAGAACTAGATAATAGGGGGGCGGTTGGGGTTTTACCAACAAAGGGCACTGCACAGAGCCTCTTCTTTGTTGGTTTGCGGGAAGGGTAGTGGGAGCCATAGCAGACCAGTTGCTCTCTCTAAAGAACTTCCTCCTTAACTCTCCCCATCAGTCCTTTTATACCTTCCATGTGGAAGAAGGGTTTAAGAGTTGTATGCTTCTGTATCTCCTCTGAATTTATTTATGGCACTCTGTTTCATAACTTAATTGGGTGTTTGATAACTGTCACTTTAGGGTTTCAACCAAAACCTTGACTTTATCATCTTGTTATACATTTTTCAAAATGAGGTTAGAGATCAGGGGAATGAATAGGAGAGAAGTACATATTTCAGTTCACTGGGCATAGGTGAATAGAGGAAGGAGAAAAATGAACATACCCAATCCACAGAGAAATGGCTCACAGAGCCCAGTGACTATGCTGAGACGCTATTAATTCAAGAAAGTTTTAGTATTTGATTTGTCAAATGACATTATTGTTTAGGACTTTTATTTTCCCTTACAGATGTTGATCTTGTCTCAGAATATTGCCCAACTGGAGGCCCAGGTGGAAAAGGTTACAAAGGAAAAGATTTCAGCTATTAATCAACTGGAGGAAATTCAAAGCCAGCTGGCTTCTCGGGAAATGGATGTCACAAAGGTACAGAAAGAGATTTTAGTGTAATCGTTACTTAAGGAAATATTTCCTTTGAAAAATGTTTTCCTAATGTACAAAACTCTTACTGTTATCAGGAGGAAGTTTGGAGTAGAAAAGTTTTGTGATTTCAAGAATAATAAAAGGCCACCTAATGGTTACTCAGCAAACATTCAGTTACTACATGCAGCCCCTCAGTGGGTATTGCATGTGCAAGGATGAATTAGACACCAGTCATGGCCTTGAAGAGCTTAAGGGTTAAGTGGCAGAGACAGACTTACAAATAAATAAGAGTTATATTACTTTAATTATTGAATATTTGATAAACCTCATTTTTCTAAATTAATTAAGAGTGCTTTGTTTTTGCCGTAGATAGCATAAGGTTGGTGTTTACAATAATTGCCAAAGACATATATTGACAACTTAAAAGGTGTGCTTGACATAAAAAATCTTCCACTTCCTTTTCCTTTTCAGACTTGGTCATTAAAATAAAGATTCTAATACTACATGATCTTATTGGTGCTTAAATTTATACTTTAAAATACTACATTGTCTGTGCTATGGGCATCACTGGTTCGTGAATCAAGAACTAAAATGTTTAATGGTCTTTACTGGCAATGATTAAGATACATATTGTAAGAAATACTAGAAGTCCATCTAGATTTCAATAGTTAATTGCTTTAAAACTAAGAAACTAATAAAATCAATTTATTTTTTACCACTAAAAACACAGATAATTTGCTTAAAATACTCTTTGCATATTACCTTTTATTCTTCAATGGATTTTCCTAAATTTTGACATATTTGTAATGCCATTGTTGCTCTATAATTCAGTAATTAAAATTAATTTTAACATGTATTAGGAAAGGGAGCCATTTTACCCTTTTTCTTGAGTTTCTATAATTCTCCATTTGCTTTTAAAAATTCCTATTAGCTAATGTAGAAGTTTAAGAAGCTCAAATTTTTGTGTGGAGATAGGGTGGAAGTGAAGGAATTAGTTCAGAAGGATGGGAATACTTAACCTAGATTTATAGGTGAAAGCTATGATAAGACAGTTTTCAGTTGATAATAGAGAGGCAGCTTTCTGTTGAAATCAGTACAGCAGAGAGAGAGTTCTCTGTCTCAAGAACTAGCTGAAAGGACATATACATCAGAAGAGCGATTAGACTAAATCGCCTTGAAGTTGCTTCCAACGTGGAGATAACATAGTTCTGGTTCAATTTAATGTGTTAATTTATTTGAAATAGAATTTGAGTGCTGTGGATAAACATAGCAAATGCTGAACTGAAAGTAGTAAAGCAGGGAACTGTAGGAGTGAAATGAAGGGATAAAATAATTTTAAATAAGACCTGCTGCTTAAACAGTTTTTACATAACCAGCTTGTATTGGTGTTGGGTTTTAAACATCATGGTTGTATAATTATTATCTTCTGATGTTATCAGTTCGGGGTTTTATTCCATTTTATTCATAGACATAAATATTAATAGTGAACAATTGAGAAAGAAAATAAAGTATGGCTCCTCATTTTTTTCCTGTCACTCTGAATTTGTAATTTTTATTTAGGTTTAAAATTAATAGTTTTTATAAATTTATAATTTTTGAAATCGGAGGAATAAACTCTCTCACATTGAAGGCATTTGAACTTCCAATAGAATTTTTAATAACTTCATTATTGTTCTAGCTTTCTGAGGGCTACTAGGGAGAAGCCTGTTGACTTTTTCTTCTGTCTTGTCACTATAGCTTTTAAACATAGATTAATTTATTTTTAAAATTACTTTTAAGGTTCTGTTTTGTTTGTTTGGAGACAGGATCTTGTTGTATTGTGCAGGCTGGAGTGCAGTAGCTATTCACAGACACTACCACAGTACACTGCAGTCCTGAGCTCCTGGGCTGAAGCCATCCTTCTGCCTCAGCCTCCAGAGGAACTGGGACTACAGGCATGCGCTACCATACCCAGCTTAAATGCATATAGGTTTTATACCTTAGTCTATTCTAATACCTCAGTAATGATGAAACTGATTTCTAAAGTTTCCAAAATCATTATTTTTGGAGAAATACCAAATACTTGAAAAGTTCCAAGAAAGCATAACGGTGAGATAATATATTAAGAGCCATATATTTGTAAATTAGAAGCCAACTTAGCTGACTTGTACATTAATTGAACTTTCTATAGGTTCTCAGTTCTCTCAAAAGGCCCATAATTTGCTTGTTTAGATTTATCTGCTAATTACACTTTTCAAATATATTTCCATTTCTGTAGCAGTCCTAGATTCGAAAAAATAAATAAAACAAAGTTCTTAGTGTTAAGTATAGAGGATGATACACAACACTTTTAAGATACTATGTGTGTTCATTATTGGTGCCGTATTACAATTATTTCATTTAAATGCATATTTTCCTTTTATATTGAATGTTACAGTCATAAGTGCATAGTGTGCTTAGTTCCAGTCTATGGCTTTTGCCAGAAAATCTTCCTTAACTTGAATACCTCATATTGTGTATGATAAGATGACATCTGCAAACCTTGCAGTCAATACTGGATATTACAGACCTAGATATCAATAGTATATCTATCAGCAGACAAAAATTCCTTTATACATTTCCTTTTAAAGAGCATAACTGATGAAGTCTTTAAAAGAAAACTTTGTAATATAGAGTGAATATTTAACTGTATCAATGTGAATGAATAATAACATAGCTTAACATTTTAACTACTAACTTTACCTATTTAAAGGTTAGATGATAGTGCATTTTGGTTGATAATATGCAATTGAAACTGTTATATAAAATAATCTTGGGCACATTACTTAAATTCCTTAGTTATGCATTTATTTATCTGTAATTTCAAGTTGTTAGAATCAATAATCCCTGGTGTTGCTTCTGAATCTTAACAAGCTACGTTGAATAGTCTAATAGAAAATGGCATTCTTAGAAAAGTTTTGTTGTATTTTATCTATATGACCTCTAGGGGGCACCAAAAGATCTAATTGCAGGCATTGCCTGGTAGATTCCAGCAGGTAATCATCCAGTTTTTTACAATCTAACAGGTGTGTGGAGAAATGCGCTATCAGCTGAATAAAACCAACATGGAGAAGGATGAGGCAGAAAAGGAGCACAGAGAGTTCAGAGCAAAAACTAACAGGGATCTTGAAATTAAAGATCAGGTAAGAGAGGACACAGCATAATTGCAGCAATTATAGATATGAGTAACATTCTTTCTCAAGTTGATGTTGTTTTATTCCTAATTTATTTATTTGTATTGTTTCTAACTAATGGGATGATCCAGTTTACACTGTTAGGAAAATTTCTTTTATAGTTGCCTAAAATTATCACCTTTCACATGAATGGTGAGAATACAACAGCATGCATATAAAATTCCAATCTGACAGGTCATAAATATACATTTGGATATGTGTATCTATTACTTACAAAAGTAAAAAGAAATGTTCTAATGCACAGTTTGAACCTAAAATATACATACATAAAGTTCTTGAAAGATGCCAACTTGAATCCAATTTTAAATGAAAAAGTTTAAAATTCGTAAGATGAGATGAGTTGATATGTAAATATGTCAATCAAATTGATTGTTGGCAGAGTGAAACCAGTTTTAACTAAGATAACCATGAATACGTTTGTTCATGAAGCCTAAATACAGTGACATTAGAAATGTTAGTGGATAAAAGCTGCGTACTTTAATTTCAGTTTGAACAGATGTTTTATGTTATATCTTTATTGAGATGAAGTAGATAACTCCAATTTTAGTTGACAACATGGATAAAGTTTTTAGAGAGGCAGTTCTAATAGGCTGACTTTTGATTTTCTATTTTTATGTTACAGTACAGGACCTTGAAGGTTTTCATTCTTTGTATTCAATGAAAGCAGGTTGTTTATTCAATTAAAATAGTAAGACTGGGTTCTTAGTGTCAATATTTTAAAATAATTGTTTTAGAATTTAGAAGTAGGTCGCTCCAAATAAGTTTTTTTTCAAATATGTTTCTAGTTCGAGGTTTTTCATCATATTTTCCAACATATTTTCTCTTTTGAGCCAATGAAGTCTTTACAACAAATGATGCAAAGACAATTGGGAAAAGTATTGAAAATGAAAGTGATAATGAAGACTAGAACAAAAAGCTTTTCAAGTCATAACTGAAATCCTTAGTACTAAATTAAAATCCTGGCAACCAAAGTAAAATTCTGCTTTTGTACCACTATATTTGGTGTTGTAATGGGTTTTACATTTTCAGAAGACTTTTAATTATTAACATGTACAAATAATGAAACATTTTATTGCATCCAGTTGGGGGCGTGCCTGATAGTGGAATGGAAAATGCTTTCTGTCAGGGACTGAAGGCCTAGGTCTACTAAGTTTATCACAGATAACTTTTCTTTCCTGATATATTGTAATTTTTTAAAAAGGAATCAATATATTGGCATACTTTTGGCCTTTCGTATTATTCTACAGCATTCTGACAGCATAATATTTTGGACTAACTGCAAAAATACATCAGGAAAGAGTCTCAGTTATTTAAAATTCCATTATAATTTTCTAGAGGAAAAAAGATCAGGGACAATAGGAGTATAATATCACTTGTAAAGGAATAACTTGTTTAGAAGCATTTGCAATATTAGAAGTATTTGCAGTATTAAATCTCATTTTAATTAATCCGTGATGGTATGGAGGCTAAAGTTGCAGGATTTACAAGGAGCAGTTTTCATTTGTAAACGTTTTCTGATAATAGTGAAACAATAGTAGTTTTCATAATGACGTTTAGTGGTATGTTTTTAGATAGAGATGTGCCTTTTTAGGAGGTCACAGCTTTAGGAATAAAACCTCTGAACAGTTACAAGATGTTTGTGATGTGTTGTGAAGTGATGTGCTTGTTACCATTTTTTTTTCCCAGACGGAATGTGAGGAAATCTTATAGGTACTCTTTTTAACTGTTTTGTATTGAACAGACAGTTTCAGAAAAGAAGTCGTGGTGTCTCATTCCATGGATGATTTGGAGTAGCAAAGCAGCAATTGTTCTTTGGTCTTTCAGCCATGACCTGACCTTCTGTCTGTGAGACCAAAGAACTACTTTGCTTGGCCACCATCTGCACTCAAGAGAGAAATTTACATTTAACTTTTAAAAGCGGGGCATGTTGAGCATTTATCTGAAATACCTACAATAATATAAAGTAGATTAAATGTTTAAGTGTTGTGTATCTTACAATTCAGCATCACAAGCAGGCTATCTGTAGGTTTGCAAACAAGGTGTTCTTCATAATATAGTCATTTTATTCATATTTTAGTTCATCTGACCACTTGATACATTTTTAAAGTGGGTGGGAAACTGTGAGATTGGAATGTGTGAGAACAACAGCTTTTTTGATGTATACAAAATAGGGCAAATGGTTAACCACCAAAATAATTTTCCTTGTGACCTGAGCCTTGGCTCTGGCATAATTAGAAGGAAAGGTTAGGAGAGTAACAATGGCAGTCGCTTCCACCCACTTTCTTCTTTTCTTCTTTATATTGTGTCAGGAACCGATGGGCGGATTATCCTTCCCATCAACTCCTTTGTATCTCTTCAGCTTAGAGAATTCCTGTCAGCCTCAGAGGATGCTTCTTGCACCAGAAAAAGAGGCATTTGGTATGGAGGAGAATGTGAAATATGCTCTTTGATTTTTATGAGAAATTTTTTTAGGCAATGGTTATACACACACACACACTCGATCAGGGGAATTTAAAAACATGTATGAGGGTATAGGGAATATTGTAATGAGTCCTCACATTTCCATCACCTACACTCATCATTTTGCCCGTCCTCTTCCTCAGTCCTATTCCATCACTCATCATTTTGCCAGTCCCCTTCCTCAATCCTATTCCATCACTCATCATTTTGCCAGTCCTCCTCCTCAATCCTATTCCATCTATCTCACTTTTTTCTCTCTACTTCTGTCCTCATCGTCACCTTCATCTTCTTTGTCATGTTTTTTCTGCTCCACCTTCTCATCTTCATCTTCTTCTGTCTTCTTCCTCTACCTCTTTTTCTTCTTTTGCAGAAGTATTTTAAATGGATCTCAGACCTTATGTTATTTTACTCATAAATACCCATGTGGATCTATGAAGGATATTTTTACATACTATGTCATTATCATACCTAACAATGTTAACAATACTTCTTTAATATCAAATAACACCCAGCCTATATTCACATTTCTTTGTCTCAAAAATGTTGATTTTACAGTTGGTTTATTCAAATTAGGAGAACAAGTATGTTTTTGTATGTCCAATTTTCTGGTGTTACCCTTTTTAATAGGAAATAAACAGAACTCTTAGTAAAATTTCATCTTTCTTTGTTGTTGTCTGTTAAATTTTGTACATAATGTTTTGATTATGCTTTATTTTTATAAAATGCCTCATTGTCATTCTAAAGAGGTATAAATTAATCCTACAGCAAAGTATGTGAAGGAAATGGCTACCACGCAGCATTCCTGATAATCATATCCCAAAAGGAGCTTCCTCGCATCCGAAACCCCAAATTCAGCATTAATTTCACAGCCTTGTATTTAAGATTTGGACATGTTGCAGGAGGCCCTAACATGACAAGGATGAGCTGACCTGAAATGAGTGATGCAGAAATAGAGTTTTTTTGTCAACTTCCCTTTTGGTAAATTAATCTGAGAAGACGATTCTTTATAGCCGCTAACCTTTGATTAGGGCCCAGTGCAAAGTGAAAATACAGGACCCTTTTGTTCAGAAAGCAGGAAAGAAGTGATATTAAAAAGAACTAAAATATAAAACATTTTCCTTTCTTCTTCAGTCTCTCTCTCCTTGCCCCTCCTCCCTCACCAACCCAGGCTGGACATGCATTTTTTTTTTTTTTCTTTTTTTTTTTTTTTTAGGACGGAGTCTCCCTCTGTCGCCCAGGCTGGAGTGCAGTGGCGCGATCTCGGCTCACTGCAAGCTCCGCCTCCCGGGTTCATGCCATTCTCCCGCCTCAGCCTCCCGAGTAGCTGGGACCACAGGCGCCCACGACCACGCCCGGCTAATTTTTTTTTTTTTTTTTTTTTGTATTTTTAGTAGAGACGGGGTTTCGCCGTGTTAGCCAGGATGGTCTCGATCTCCTGACCTCTTGATCCGCCGGCCTCGGCCTCCCAAAGTGCTGGGATTACAGGCATGAGCCACCGCGCCCGGCCTGGGGCGGGAATTCTTACCTCCCTGTCCAGCTCTAAGATGGCAGGGATGGGCACACTTGACTCAATCCTCTCTAAACACACATTCAGGATTCTGCCAGGGGCAAAAGACACAGGAGAACACACACCTCCCCCAGTGACATACGCACCTCCCCCAGTGCCCTGGTCCCACCCTAGGTGGAGGGACCCACCCCAGCAGCAGGGCAGGGCGGGATAGAGGAAGCTGGAGAGGAGTATATTTCTGAGAACTGCGTAGGGCTGCAGTGAGGCAGTGGAAAGATGAGACCACATACAGGAGTTCAGTCTCCATTGTTCCATCAGAGTACACCTACAAAACACAATTCTAGCCGGGCGTGGTGGCTCACGCCTGTAATCCCAGCGCTTTGGGAGGCCGAGGTGGCGGATCACCTGAGGTCGGGAGTTTGAGACCAGCCTGACCAATATGGAGAAACCCCGTCTCTACTAAAAATACAAAAAAAAAAAAAAAAAATTAGCCGGACATGATGGCACATGCCTGTAATCCCAGCTACTCAGGAGGGTGAGGCAGGAGAATTGCTTGAACCCAGGAGGCGGACGTTGTGGTGAGCCGAGATCACGCCACTGCACTCCAGCCTGGGCAACAAGAGCGAAACCCTGTCTTGGATAAAAACAAAACAAACAAAACAAAAAAAAAAAAACACAATTCTAAGATACAATTGCTAATAATTTCAAGACATTGACCACAGAGTATTAAACTGCAAGTGTAAGGACCCTTCTGAACAGCACATGTGTGACTGCACTGATCACGTGCCCAAGAAACTGCCATAACCAGGGGGATGGGCAAATGGAGATTTTGCATACTAATATATGTGTATATATCCCCACTCACATATACAGACACATATGCATATTCAATATGCTAATGTGCCCAGTATTCATAAAAAAGTGTTAGCCAACTACAGCTCATAGGTCAAGTCTGGCCTGCTGTCTATGTTACAAATAAAGTTTTATTAGAACTCAGCCATACCTACTCATATATGTATCACCTATTGCTACTTCCTGCAACAACAGCAGAGTTGAGGAGTTGTGGTAGAGACCATATAGCCCACAAAGCCTAAAATATTTACTGTCTGACCCTTTACAGAAAAAGTTGCCAATCCCTACCTTGAGTATAGAAATACAACTGTATTTTTTAAGTTTCCTCTGACTTACTAGGATGCTGAGCTTTGAGTTTGAAGACCCATGTATCTTAAATAATAACAATGGTTTTAGAGTATTTTGCAGTATAACAAATGTGCCACATCTTTAGTCTCTTAAAAATCTAATGGCATTACTCAGCGAGTGTATCACTGATAATCATGGCATTTTCTTATTAGTGGCACATGACTTACTAGTGGCTTGGATGGGAGTGTAAATACCGTATGATTTTATATTTACAATTTTGTTTTTAGGTTGGTTCCAATTTTATTTTTCAGAGATAAGAAGGCTGATATAGAAAGCGTCTTTCTTTTTTTTTTTTTACCGGCATTGTATAAATTATAATTTTGGAGTTGTGGCTACTACTGAGTAGAAAACATCAAGTTTGAAATGACTTTAATGGAGCAATCAAAGCAAATATTCAGGGTGGGGTATCTCTGCAAAAGAAATAGATCCAAAAATTTTGGCTGGAAAAATGAGGGCAAAAAAGGATTTGAGGGTTGCTCATATCTACAGCAGTGATTCAGCACTTGGACACTGACATTAAGGATGGAGTGTAAGGACACAGGAATTATCGCCTAAATTCAGTTGAATTAACTAGACTGTTGGAAGAAGTGCATCTATATTGTATGGCTTTGTGTAAGGAGAAGAAGGCCTGCCTGCAAGCCCTAAAAGTCAGTCCTTTTTTCTTTCTTTTTTTTTTTGAGACGGAGTCTCATACTGTCGCCCAGGCTGGAGTGCAGTGGTGCAATCTCGGTTCACTGCAACCTCTGCCTCCCAGGTTCTAGCAATTCTCCTGCCTCAGCCTCCCAAGTAGCTGGGACTATGGGAGCACGCCACCACCCCCAGCTATTTTGTTGTTGTTGTTGTTTTTTAGTAGGGACAGGGTTTTACCGTGTTGCCCAGGCTGGTCTTGAACTCCTGAGCTCAGGCAATCCACCTGCCTCGGCCTCCCAAAGTGCTGGGATTACAGACGTGAGCCACTGCGCCCGGCCTATGTCAGTCCTTTTTAAAGTTAGAGAAATATAAAAGCAATAAAGAAAAGTTGAAGAATTGTACCTTTTACTTAGAGAAGACTTCAACATTGCTTCACATCTTCAAGGATTTGACAAATTATTTCAAGGAAAAAGTTAAACACCTGATTTGAGTCTTCAATATGGACAGAACAAGAACAAAGGGATTTAACTACAGCAACTACAAATCACAATAGCCTGAAACAAGAATTTTCTGACAGTAAGGAGATTGAAATTGCTGCAACAGGCCATGGAACCTTTTCCCTGGAAGTTTTAGTTTTAAATAGTAGCAGCAATATGATTTACCTGAAGACCCAGCTCATGGACCTCTGAGGTCCAGTCTTCTATTTGATTCTGGAAGCGTCCTAGAAAGACATCGTTGTATCTTTTAAAAGTGGGTAACAGCAGTGTTAGTCTTTTCTACTTGAAACCTAGCACTTACAGATTAAAGTAAAATCCTGTTCCGTTCTATTCTCTGCTTTGTGTCTTTAAAGCTGTGTACTCTTTTTCAGAAGGTTTTTGGGGAATATGCTAAGATAATGGATGACTTCTCAAGAGCCAGACTTCAGAAACTTATCCAACTACCACCTGCAGTCTCACTTCTCCCTCTACAAAATGACTGGGAGAGGGGCCATTTGGGCCTGCCTTTGGTACATGTAATCACTCGGTCCTGGTGATGACAGAGTTGCTCTCCAGTATTCTTCACACCCTCTTTCAGTCTGTAGACTTAGCACATTCTTGTCCCTGCTCCCTACGAAGACAACAGCAGTTCCAGAGGGCTTGGCTTACCCAGACCAGTATGCTAGACACTGTGGGGGTAATAACTAGGAGACCCAGGTCCTACCCTTAGGGAGTTTATATTCTAGTTGAGGAGTCAGAGTACACATTAGAACATGCCTTAAGAATACTTGCAAAGCAGCATATCGACAAGTGCAAATTAATGTAGTGTGAACTTCATGCTGGCTACAGCCCATGAGAGGGAGAATCTGGTTCCATGTGTGTGATGCAATAAAGCTTTTTTATAGCATCTTCTCTAAGTATGCCCTAAAGCATTGTTCAGCATACTTAGAGAAATTTGTGTTCTTATCGCAGCCTAACCAAGAATTCTGAGAAAATTCTTCAGCCTAACATATGTCTAATAAATCAGCCTCTTTTGTTCTTGTCCTGGATGATGCTTGAATGGGACAAGTAGGATTTATTGGATTATACAAATAATTTAAAATATGTTCATTTAATAAAAGTCTAAGTTATTGATTGAACTTATTTTTCTAAAATGCTGTGCCAAATTACTTTCTTCATCTAAAATCATCATGTTGGTAAAATCACAAAATTAGCAGTAAAAAAATATAATTCAATTTTTCTGCATAAAGAAGCAGTTCCAAATCAATCCAGTGAATAATACCGAGTTGGAGATCATTGGGGCATTTAGCATTTAGTCACGTTGTTAATGATTTAGGCAGTTGTTTTCTGAGGCAGGGTATGTATACCTCATTCATAGAAACACTGACTTTTCAATTAACATGCTCAAAAAAAGAATCTATTAATTTCTGCTTGTTATTTGATTTTCCAACAAAGATGATAATGCTGTTTAACATAATAATTTATTTTACAAAATCAAATGTATAAGCAGAGACAACACATCTGAAAATAGCAATTTAGGTATATTTAGAAGATAAGAGTACAAATAGGAAATAAAACAAGCTTTCTTAGAAATAATATGCCTTATAGGAGAAACATTAAGAAATAAATATTTGCCTTTGGATGGGAATAGAAAACTGTAAACTGGACTCTAAGAATATTCCTGTGTGCCCTGAAGAAATATAATGTTTGCTATATTTTCAGTTTCAGTGGATGACATGTGTTTTGGTTCTTTGAACATTTTTTTGCATGCTTGTTTTGACTGTAAAAGTTGACTTACCAGCCAACTGCCAACTTGCAAAGTGCCTTCTCAGGTACCAACTCTGCAGTTCTGGTAGCTACCAGGTAGTGACAGTTCTTTAAATGTGTCCATGCAGCCCAACAAGCTGAGAGACATTAGACATAAGACAACTACATATGCTTTCTTTTTGTTTATAGTCCAGAAATATTAGTACCTATATCCAATATAAATATCACTAATTACTACATATGCATACATTTAAAAAAATTTATTGTATAAACATAAGCACATTAACAGAAGCCAGTAGTTCCATCACCCAAACAGTGTAAATTGTTTTTATTTTTCTGTTTTACCTTCCACTTTTTGTACATATGCATCTATAATATTTGCAAATATAAATAGATTCTAGTTTTGGTTTTTGCTTTTTTCATTTAACATTATCTTAAGCATTTTTTCTGTGTTGCTCCTTATTCTTCATAGTGATCACTTTACTGTGGCCATTTACATATACCTGTAAGGGAAAATGATAGTAAGTTAGATTTTGAGAACAGCCACTATGACAGATTTAGAGCCCTTTTGCCCTAAACTTCATATGTTGCTTTAATTCAATAACCATATATTATGTGCACTCTACTTAGCTATAATCAATTTCTGTCAGAAAGGAGTATGTAAACCAGGTATGCCAATAAATATATGTCAAAGAGAACATAGTAGCTATCAGCAAAATGCAAAAGGCATGGGAATTTGGGAGGGGAAAGATAACATCCTTGCAGGGTGGTTAGAATGTTGCCTAGGGCCAGCCGTGGTGGCTCATGCCTGTAATCCCAGCACTTTAAGAGGCTGAGGCAAGCAGATCACTTGAGGTCAGGAGTTCGAGGCCAGCCTGGCCAACGTGGTAAAACCGTGCATCTACTAAAAATTCAAAAATTAGCCGGGTGTGGTGGCGCGCGCCTGTAATCCCAGCTACTCGGGAGACTGAGGCAGGAGAATTGCTTGAACCCAGGAAGCGGAGGTTGCAGTGAGCTGGGATTGTGCCACTGCACTCCAGCCTGGGCAGCAGAGCAAGATTCCATCTCAAAAAAAAAAAAAAAAAAAAAAAAAAAAAAAAAGAATGTTGCCCAGCACGGATAGAAGAAGAAATTTATTTGGTTAGAAGGTTCAACATGGCAGCTTGAGCAAAGGAATGGGGGTGAAAAAGGAGGGTGCATCCAAGAACATATGTGTCTTTTGGTTCCATAGCATTTTTGTATAACTGACCTCCATTATTTCAAGTGCCACTTCTCTGTTGTAATAGATTGCTCATAGAAAATGGGTTTTAGTAACACTCAGAATCCCAATATAATTGTCTCCTTGTAATATACTGTATGCCCTGCAGTCAGGCACAGAAGTCATGGTATCGTTTGGGAATGTATGCATATGTATTTCATTTGCTTTGTAGTAGGTTTTATGTAATGGAAAAATTTTAAGATTTTTCAAATTTCAGATAACATAAATAAAATGTCATTTTATTTACAGTGTTAGAGTCATATAGGATTGTTTTCCTAGAAATAAAGAATTGACAATTATCTTGATTTGTGGAGGATTAGCACATGACTGTTGATGAAAGGTGAAACACAGATCATACAGGGTACTACTTTACTTAAGGACCATGAGTACAAAGTCATGACTTTCTGATTTAGCTTTTCCAGCTAATTTCCTGAGCAAACCTCTCAGAGCCTCAGTTTATTTCCCAGTGAAGTGAGAAGCTTGGACAAGTGGTAGCAAAAGTTTTCTCCAGCTGTAAATTCTTGCATTTCTAGAAACACAGGAAGTATTTCTTTGCCCCTCTTAATTGTGAATTAAATATTCATAAAATCAACAGAAATTGCATGGAGCCTCAAGTTTTATTCTGTATTTTCCAGTTATTCACTTTCACTTTATAAACATGACACTTTTGTTAAGATTATAAAAATGAATTTTGACTGTCATCTGCAATTTTAGACATTTTCGTTATGATTGGTAATAGAACAATAAAATGTCTAGCCTTGTAAAGAGTTAAGTTTACTTACAAGACAGACATCATCTAATTTGCAACAAGGATTAAAGCCCCACTCTGAATTAAAATTTCTACTGGAAAGATTTGAGGCACTGGCAAACTGTCAAAGGTAGTATTGTGCGAGAGTAACCAGCTTTTGCAAGACCTGTGAAAGTAAATCTCTTCGGCCAGAGTTTCTTAGGTGTGTGAACTTATGATGATCAGGAATACATTGGTGGATTCCCACTAGAGAAACGCACCATTAATAGTTAATGCTTTCACTTTCTGTTTTCACTTGTTGCCCTCATAAATGCAAGCATGGAATGAAAAGCTGTGGTAGTTCTGGACACAGATGACCTAGAATATGATCATCTTAAGATTTTGCTCTGGGAGTTCTTTTTAAAATCAATCAAAATGAAACCAAAAACAATTTTGCAATTGTCTTAGAGGTTTTACAGATCCCTGGCATGTTTTTCTGACCCTCACTGGAGTTCAGTATGAGACAGACCACGCTACAAAGAGATTCCTGATCTAACTCTAGGCTGTTCATGAGTGTTAGACACACAGTGTGAGACAGATCACCCTACACAGAGATTCCTGATCTAACTCTAGGCTGCTCCTGAGTGTTAATGAGTTGCAAGGTGTTTAGAGTTTTCATATTACTCTTCTTAACAGATGGTCAAGTTAATTTAACTCTTTTTGGTGTTAACATCTGTACTTAAGTGGATTTGTTACACTTACATTTAGGAAAAAGACAAGAAAGCTGCAGGGTCTTTATTTCTGGCCTGCCTTCTGCCATCCCTGAAAATTTCTGGAGTTTCCTATAGGAATGGAAAATTCTTCTTTGTATAAAATCTCTCTACTTACAACTGAAGTCCTGATACCTTCTCTCTCTCTCTCTCTCTCTCTCTCTCTGTCCCCTACCCTCTCTCCATGGTAATAAATTATACAAGTAGTAGTATTAGCCTTTCTTCATGAGTCAAGCTGTCATTGAAAATTCCCATTAAAGTGCGAGGGGACGCTCATATCTTTAAAGAAAGTGTGGCTGCCAAGGAAACGAGGGAGGTAAAAATAAACTTTTAAGGAGATCTTGAGATGGAAGAGAAAGAATCGTTCTACTCGAAAGATTATTTCAAATGCTACCTTTTCTGTTGGACTCTTCTTTCTTTCTTTATGATTAATATTATTATTTTGGGATTTGGTGTTTTACTCTGTTGTCCAGGCTGGAGTGCGGTGGCACAATCTCGGCTTATTGCAGCCTTGACCTCCTGGGTTCAAGTGATCATCCCGCCTCCACCTCCCAAGTAGCTGGGACCACAGGTGCATGCCACCACACCCGGCTAATTCTTTTTGTATTTTTTTGTAGAGTCAGGGTCTTGCTATGTTGCCCAGGCTGGTTTTGAACTCCTGAGCTCAAGCCATCCCTCCACCTCTGCCTTCCCAAGTGCTGGGACTACAGGCCTGGGCCACCGCACCTGGTGTGGATTCTTCTTTAGCTTGCTTAGAATGTTCTGCAAAGAAATCTGAATTCACTCATATGGAGAGGTGATTGTCATATCCTAGTTTGCATTAGAAACTTTAGGGTGTCATTTTCAACTAAATTTATCGTAGAACTGTAGGAGGGTCAGTGTTTCTTCCCTAATATACTGAAGGTCCACTATGTGTATAGCAAATTAAGCTATGCAAGGTTTTATATAATAAGAACCAGACATGTTTCATTTTAAAGGCGGCGTCAACACAGACTAACGAATACATCAAATATCTGTATGTATTTTTAAATCTATATGTAGATATATAGCTTTCTATATATCTTATTAATCTATAACCTTACTGTGACTTACTAATGATTTTTCTTGAGCAGAACCTGAAGTTTGAAGTATCTCAATGCTGAATTTGACATACCATAGACTTACTTCAATGGCTAGGAGAGCAAGAAAGATGCTAGAATTATCTTTAGTTATAAAAACAAGAAGAGAAAAGAAAAGTAGTGGCGGGGGGGTGGTGGGGGAAGTGGGAAGAGAAAATGGGAAAGACTTTAGAGGAAGACATTCTAAAGGCATTTATACTAAGAAGAATTGGGCTTTTTTTTTCCTGTTTATACTGTTTCACCTTAAACTATAACTCAGAAGAGGCAAACATGACCACCTATCCATCAGTATAATAATGCATCAGGATTTTCAGAAGGGAACCACAATAATGGATTTTAAAAAACCATTACTGGTATGAAAATCCCTTTTCCCCTACAACCACTGCTGATTGTCGAAAATAACTTCATGCTAGACATGGTGGCTTACTCCCGTAATCTTAGCACTTCAGGTGTCCCAAAGCAGGAGAATCGTTGAGCCCAGGAGTTTGAGACCAGCCTAGCCAACATGGTGTGACCCCATCTCTACAAAAAAAAGAAAAAAAAAATCAAAAAATTACCCAGGTATGGTGTCATGTGCCTGTAGTTCCAGCTACATGGGAGGCTGAGGTGGGAGGATCACTCACACCCAGAAGGTCAAGGCTGCAATAAATTGTGTTCATGCACTGCACTGCAGCCTGGGCAACAGAGCAAGACCCTGTCTGAAAAGTAATAATAATATATAATAATAACTTTATGTACTTTGGCATTTTTCAGAAGATGCTTCTTACCCACATAGCAATGGAATTTATGAAGGTAACTTTTGGGCCGGGTGTGGTGGCTTATGCCTGTAATCCCGGCGCTTTGAGAGGCCGAGGTGGGTGGATCATGAGATCTGGAGATCGAGACCATCCTGACTAATACGGTGAAATCCCATCTCTACTAAAAATACACAAAATTAGCCAGGCGTGGTGGCACATGCCTGTATTCCCAGCTACCTGGGAGGCTGAGGCAAGAGAATCGCTTGAACCTGGGAGACGGAGGTTGCAGTGAGCTGAGATCGTGCCACTGCACTCCAGCCTGGGCAACAGAGCGAGACTCTGTCTCAAAAAACCAAGAAAAAAAAAAAGAAGGTAACTTTTGTCTTTAGTCTTTCCTATTTCAATGGCCACATATAAAGGATGGAAGGAAAGGCTTCAGATAATAAAGAGCAATGGCTTGGTGGGCACCAAGGGTCAGAAAGACTTTAATAACTTAGTCCACCTCCTCCATTCTGTATATGATGAGACTGTGAGTCAGCTGGGAGTAATTACCTTATTTCCATGCAGCCATTTATTTAACTAATAATTAGTGATAACCTATTATGTGTTGCAAACAAATACGCACAGGGGTGCAATGAAAAATAAAAATATATTTACTGCTCTTAACAACTCTTATAGTTTGGTGAGGAAGTTAAATGTGCTGGGGGCTCAGCAAAGGGTGTGGCCTACTGTGGCGGGAGAGGGTCCAGAAAGATTTTACACATTTACAGTCAATTGATTTTCAGCAAGGATATTAAAACTCAATAGGGAGCAAACAGACTTTACAGTAAATGGTGCTGGGAAAACCTGATACCCACAGGTAAAAGAAAGAACTTGGGTTCCTACCTCATAGTGTAGACAAAAATTAACTCAAAATGGATGAAAGACTAAATGTAAGAGCTAAACTTAGAAAACTCTTAGAAGAAAACATAGGCATACATCTTAGTGACTTTGGATTAGGTAATGGTTTCTTAGGTATGATGCCAAAAGCACAAAGAACAATAGAAAAAAAATAGATAAATTGAATGTCATCAAAATTAAAAACTTTTGACCTTTAAAGAACATTATCAAGAAAAAAGACAACCCACAGAACGGGAGAAAATTTTTGGTAACTCATGTATCTGATAAGAGACTTGTATCTAGGATATGTAAGGTACATTTACAATTTAATAATAAAAAGACTCCTCAATTTTTAAATGGGCAAAAGATCCGAATAGACTTTTTTTAAAGAAGATATGTTAATAATAACTATATTATTAACAAATGATTAATAAACATGTGAAAAGATGCTCAACATCATTAGCTATCAGGAAAATGCAAACCAAAACCAAGATGAGAAACCATTTCACATCTACTTTGGATAAGTGTAATAAAAAAGACAGATAATAACAAGTGTCGGTGAGGATGTAGAGAAACTGGAACTCCCCCATAAGTTGCTGGTAGAATTTAAAGTCATACAGGCTGAAAAATATTCGGGCAGTTTCTCAAAATGTTCAACATAGAGATATCATATGACCCAGCAATTCCAGTCCTGGGTCTATACTCAAGAGAAATCAAAACATGCTACTCAAAAACTTCTACACGGATGTTCATAGCATTATTCATAGTAGCCCCAAACTGCCAATACCCCAAATGTCTATCAACTGATGAATGGATAAATAAAATGTGGGGTGTGTGTATATAGATACATATTACATGGCAGTAAAAAAGAATGAAGTAATGATACATTCTACAGCATGGTAGACTTACAATTGAAAACATCATGTTAGATGAAAGAAGCCAGTCACAAAAGACAACATATTGTATGATTCAATTTATATGAAATGTTTAGAATGGGCAAATCTATAGAGACAGAAAGATTAGTGATTGTCCAGGTCTGAAATTGGGGACAAATGGGAGGGACTCCTGATGGGCATGGAGTTTCTTTTGGGGTGATAAAATGTTCTAAAATCGGTTGTGGTAATAGTTGCACAACTATTTTATTTCCTCAGTCCTGAACTTCATGTCCAGGTAGAGATTTATTCCCTAGAGTAACTAAGGAGGAGGAGTGTTAGCCAGCACCTTCCTCCTTCCTCTTGGTGACTAGAGTGTTAGCACGTCAGTCCAATTCTGAAGTTCAATCATTGGAAGCCTACTTACCCATAGATTTGAGCCACATTCTCTAAAATTGATTTCATTGCTAATACAGATGAACAGGCTTGCTCCATACTGTTCTACAGGCTGTGCACTGCACAATTCCACAGATGCCATTTGCACTATAGTCATGGCGGCCTCACAGTGAATGTACTAAACTCCGTGAATGTACTAAAAACTATTCAATTGTATACTTTCGGTGGGTGAATTCTATGGTGTGTGGATGATCTTAATAAAGTTGTTATTTTAGAAAAAAAATATATCATCCAAGTCATATTTTAGCCCAGTCTGGAGGGAACAAGAGTGGGAAGTGAAGGCCATTCAGGAAAACAGGACAGAGTCACAAAGGCACTGTTCTGTGTGTACCTGGAGGGCACAAGCGGGTGCAACAGATGAGGAAGGAAAGACAGAGCCCCACAAAACTGAAATGACATGCCAGAAGTGGCTGTAAGGTCCTTAAAGTCAGGGTCTTAACTTACCCTTCATTGTGTGTCCGGTACTCGGCACAGAGGAGACCTACGGCAGATATTTATCTGTTGATTGAGTGAATGCATAGTGAGCTAAGAACAAACCTTGAATACTTAGTGATAGTATCTAAATGAGATGACTGAGCTTCTCACTCCTAGGTCAGTCTTTGTTGTGCTATGTCTGATGGAAAGTTTTAGAATCAAGATGAGAATAACTCCTTTTATAATGATACTCATATTTTAGCAGTTATATGTGTTGAAAATGTTTGATCAGTCTTTTTTATATTTAGTTGTTCTAGTAAGTATATAATGGTATCTCATTGTGGTTTTAATTTTCATTTCCCTAGTGATGAATGGTACTGAGCATTTTTTCAGATGCTTTTCTTCTGTCCATATATCTTCTTCACATATATCCACTGCTACCGTCTAGTTCAAGGTACTGTCGTCTTCAGCTGTGTTATTGCAACAGTCTCTTTTTTTTTTTTTTTTTTTGAGATGGTGTCTCGCTCTGTCACCTAGGCTGGAGTGCAGTGGCGCGATCTCAGCTCACTGCAAACTCTGCCTCCTGGGTTCACGCCATTCTCCTGCCTCAGCCTCCCTAGTATCTGGGACTACAGGCACCCGCCACTATGCCTGGCTAATTTTTTTTTATTTGTATTTTTAGTAGAGATGGGGTTTCACCGTGTTAGCCAGGATAGTCTCGATCTCTTGAGCTTGTGATCTGCCCACTTCGGCCTCCCAAAATGCTGGGATTACAGGCGTGAGCCCCCATGCCTGGCCAGCAACAGTCTCTTAACTGGGGCTCCCTGCTTCTCCTCATCTAGCCCCTTCACAGCATAAGGGCCAGAGAAAGTCTGTTAAACTTTCATCAGCCAGGTGAGGTAGCTCACTCCTGTAATCCCAGCACTTTGGGAGGCCGAGGCAGGTGAATCAGGAGGTCAGGAGTTCAAGACCAGCCTGGCTAAAATGGTGAAACCCTGTCTCTACTAAAAATATAAAAATTAGCCAGGCACGGTGGCAGGTGCCTATAGTCCCAGCTACTCGGGAGGCTGAGGCAGGAGAATCGTTTGAACCCGGGTGGTGGAGGTTGCGGTGAGCCGGGATTGCGCCACTGCACTCCAGCCTGGGCAATAGAGTGAGACTCCATCTCAAAACAAAACAAAACAAAACAAAAAAACAAACAAAAAACAACCTATGTCTGATCTTGTCACCCTTCTGAAACCATCCAGTGGTTCCTACCTCAGTAGCAGTCAAAGGCAAAGTCAAACAGTGACCCCCTCATGGCACGCATCTGCTGACCTACAACTGGGCAGTGAATATAGACATTTGCATTTACCTGTCTGGAACTTGGTCATTTTCGTTTGGGCCTGTTGTGTCAGCTTGTCCGAGCTCTCTTGGATCCTCTTTTCAACATATTGCCATAATAAATTATTCCTCTCAGGTTTATGTCACTGGTTAGCAAGGTGCTAACCAGTCTGCCCCCACGACCACTTCAGAGCCTTTGGACTTGCTCTTTTCTTCGCCGGGTTCTCTGGGATATCCTGTGGATCACAAAATAACCCTTCAAGTCATCGCTGAAATCATCTGTGTGAGACTTTCCTGACTACCTTGTTTTATGTTGTAAACCAGTTTCCGAGTACTCCTGCCCCCTTTCTGCTTTATTTTACTCCATATCTTACTCATTTGTTTATTATCATCTTTCCTTATCACAACCTTAGCTTCATAAAGTTATGCCCTCTTTATTCATACTCAACACATTTGCGAAAGCAAAACGTGAATTGCATTGCATTGCATTGCTCTTCCATTTAGCAATTTGGAATGGCTTCCCATTTGCATTTAGAAACATGAGTCCAAACTCCTTTCTACAGTTTATAAGGCCCTGCATAATCTCCCCACTGCCTGTCTTTCCACCCTCTTCTCATCCACCCTTCCCCTGTCCATTCAGTGGAGCCTCCGTGGTTTGCCTTTAGCTTCTCAGACATGCCATGGCCTTTGGACAAACATCTTCCACATATATTCTTTCCCACTCTTCCTTTGCTTAACCAGCTCTTTTTCTTTCTTTTGGTTTCCAATTCAATGTCTCTACTTCACTGGCTACTAATGTATACTCTGTTATTCTCTCACAGCACCTCATTCCCCTCCTTCATGGAGCTTATTATAAGTTTTTTATTATTTTATTGTTCATTTGCTTTTAAACAATCAGTTTCTTCCATTAAAATGTAGGTTGTTTGAGGACAGAGACTTTTACTTGTCTTATTCTCTTTTGTATTCAGTGCCCCAGTGCCCTGATTGCAATTAGGGTCACAGTAACTGGATGGATAGGTGGGTGAAGAGATGGCCAAGTGACTGCCTCAAGTAACACAGTAACTGGATGGATAGGTGGGTGAAGAGATGGCCAAGTGACTGCCTCAAGTAACACAGTAACTGGATGGATAGGTGGGTGAAGAGATGGCCAAGTGACTGCCTCAAGTAACACAGTAACTGGATGGATAGGTGGGTCAAGAGATGGCCAAGTGACTGCCTCAAGTAACACAGTAACTGGATGGATAGGTGGGTCAAGAGATGGCCAGTTGACTGCCTCAAGTAACACAGTAACTGGATGGATAGGTGGGTGAAGAGACGGCCAAGTGACTGCCTCAAGTAACACAGTAACTGGATGGATAGGTGGGTCAAGAGATGGCCAAGTGACTGCCTCAAGTAACACAGTAACTGGATGGATAGGTAGGTGAAGAGATGGCCAAGTGACTGCCTCAAGTAAATTTCTCATTTTACTACCCACTACCCAATGAATCTGAACAAGTTACTGAAAATGTGCAAGCTTCAGTTTTCCTCTTTGTAAAATGAGGATAGATACAATGCCTACCTTATAGGATTTTGTAAAATTTTAGGTCATCTATGTTAACCTCATAGTACAATGCATGACATGTAATAATTGCTCAATACACACTAATAATTACTAGTTTTACTAATACTGTGATCCTTAGCTTTTCCACCTTCATCTCTCTCCCATCTGTGTCCCATTTTATCACATTGCTTTCCAGAGTCGTGATGATTACTGAATATGAGACTGCTAGTTTGAACTGCCCAGTGCATAGCAGTGGAGCTATTGCCTAAGCTTATGTTAATCTAGCATCAGAGCCAACTATCATTTGCCTTATTGTTTATCAAATATGTCTCATTGTAAATTCTTATTGAGCTTAAAATTCAATTAAAACCCCTCATGGCACGCATCTGCTGACCTACAACTGGGTGGTGAATATAGACATTTGCATTTACCTGTCTGGAACTTGGTCATTTTCGTTTGGGCCTGTCGTGTCAGCTTGTCCGAGCTCTCTTGGATCCTCTTTTCAACATATTGCCATAATAAATTCTTCCTCTGAGGTTTGTGTCACAGACACATTTGATCAGCACATCGGTGGCATCCTCATTAAAGTCAGTGGTCTAAATAGTATAGCACAGAGAGCATCACAGAGCCTATGACCTGCAGCTTCCTTGTAATTTGATATTTGCTGTTCTGTCTTCCATGTGATTTGTTCTAATTGATGTTTAAGAACCAGATCATGTTTATTTTTCTGTTTAAGAACCAGACCATTGCCTTCTTCAAAATAATTCTAGTCAAATAAAAAAATTATTTTTATGCCTACTGTGTGTAAGTAGCTTGCCTAGATACCGATGAACCATGTGACAGAAGCTTGCCTTGATGGTGGGCAATGAGGAAATCGGGCATGGATGGCTAAGAAATCAAAGTGCCGTTGTAAATATGGAGCAGATTTGTAGTTTGGCAGGATATAAACCCGTGTTGGGAAACTCCCAATGAGAGGTCAAAATTGAAATGGGGCTGTCTGAAATTCCATTTTGTTCATCTAGATAACCTGGATAAATGGGCTAAATTGGAAATTTGAGTCTTAAAATCATTTTTTTGAGATTTCTCCTATTCATTCTATTGACTTACTCTCCATTTTAAAGTCTTTTGTCCTAATCATTTACCCTATATCTCTCTGTTCTATGCCTATTTTATTTTTCTTTATGAAAATGGGTGAAAGCAGGAATTTTGCTAGTTTTCTAATTATCACAGCATATAAATTCAGTAATGTATGTGAAAGTGTTTTCTAAACTATGAAAAGCTGTATACATACATAGGAATAGAATGGATTGTCAATAAATTGAAGAGATGAGTTTACTCCTTTGTATGTGGAAGCTGTTAATTTAAAATAACACACTCAAAATATTAGCTAAAAATCTACTTCACATTTTGGTGCTGCTTGCTAAAATTAGTTAGAAAATATAGGTTATTTTTGAGTTAAAACCAAGTTCAATAAATTCTTAAGTTCCTCAAATAGAATTTTACAGAAATATTTACATAACCCACAGCTAAAGTGAGTTTTCTAAGAACTCCCCATAAGGTGAGATCACGTACACCATGTCTCAGTACAGAAGGATTTTTTTTTCAATCAGTTATGTCTCTATAAATAAACCTAGTTTTGTTGTTAAAATTGCTGTTTCCTCTTCACATAAGAACATGTCATTAATTTTGGTGAAAACCTTCCAACAAAATAAGGTTAAATTGTCCAGTTTTCCAGTGGAAGAGGAATTATTTTGTGTCACCAACAAGCAGAGTAACAGCTTAAAGGTAAGTTGAACACAGACATGCTGTTTGGGTGGTCAGAATATTTTGCATCCAAGCATAAATGTTAGTAAGAGCCTATAGGTGAGAATGCTTTAGGTATGTTTTTAGTAATGCTTTACCTCTGCTACTCTCCTTAGGATTTGGGAACCAGAGCATTCATACTGATGTTCTCTGTAATTAGGTACACCAAGGAGTAACAGAAACTGGGTAGGTAGGTAGGTAGAGAGAGGTGACCTCAGCCAGAGCCGGTGTGTTTGTATAGGCAAGAAGAGGAGCTGTATTCCATGGTCTGAACTATTAAGTGATCCAGACTACAAGAATATGACTTCCTTTTCTCAGTTGTTTGAAGTTCATTTAGCGAAAAATTAAAATACAGTTTCCTATAAAACAAAATCATTTAGTTTGAACTGGAAAAACATTTGAGGTTTTCTTGGTTTGAGAGAAAATAAACATTTTCTTTTGTCCTAGCACCTATACCAAACAGTAATATTGACAAAAACCAAACCTAAGAAAATGCATTTTTTTTCCTCTAAATTAAGAAATAGTATGTATGGCTTTAAGATGCTGCTTAAAAAAAAAGAATAAGTCTTACATTTGTTCTAGTTGTCAGAGATTGACAGAACTAATAAGAGAATAAAAGAGCAAAACGAAAAAGTTCTTGCTGATTAACAGTTGTCTGAGGAGAAACAGACGATATGTTTTCTTTATTGCATTGAAAAGTTAATTATTACCAATAGAAGCTTATTTATGCTTGTAACTGAGTTAGCGTTGTGGCTTGGCATTATTCCACATTTGAAGGGAAATGGGTATCGGCGAAGAGTCTGGAGCTTGAGTTCTAGTACAGTTGAGTGGGCTTAGCGAGTGGTTTAACTTCACTGGATCCCACGTTCCCACCTGTAAAGTGAGGCGATAGATTAAGATGATGACTGAGGTGTCTTGTGTCCCTAACTGCATGTTTTTTTCCTAAAGGCCTATTTTGTTTTTTATGAAACAAAATATTTTATCTTCACAGGGAAGTTTACTCCCAAATGTTTTTGGGACCATTTAGATAGGAGTACACTTTAGAAAAAAATATAAGCAGCACAGTATTTAAAGAACAGAAATTGTATTTGCTAAGTAAATACTGTACATCGAAGTCTTGGAAGTTAGATACAAAATAAGCCAAAAGTTTCATTTTATATTCCCTTTAGCAATCAGAATATTTGATTATTTTCTAGACAGTTTCTGTAAGAGTACCATTTGGTATAAGAGTTTTAATTTGTGATAGTAGAAAAGTAATAAAAATGTGTACACCATCTAAGAGACAAAATAATTTTGCCAAAAATTGCCTTTTGTTCTGGTTAAGAATAAATGGGCCAATTTCTTTTACACAATAATTTTTAGTAGCAGATACCATATCTAAAAAACTATATTTACTATGGCAATAGTAGCAGACTAATTATCCAGCTTTCTTTGGAAATTGTGACTTTTGTAGTTGTCAATACTTTTATATCTACACTGAAAAATTTTTGGCTTTGAAGAGTATGCCTGCATGTATGTTGATTTTCCTGTAATTTTAGTATCTGGGAAAATATTCCATCTGAAGCATATGTAGAAGTATAGAAAATTGTTGAAATTCCATTTTGAAATGACCTTTAGGCTGCTCTTCATTTAAGGTAATAGTGTCAATTTTGAACAAACTGTTTCAAAAACTTTATTTAATTTAGGATTATGAATGGCATCCTTGTTGGTTTTTAAGTATTTTTAACCTCATGATGAGAATCTGAGAGCATTGTAAATACATTTAATAATGAAAAAGATATTTTCTAAACTTGAAGTCAATAATAAACTTCTTGTATTTAAATTGACTTATGAAGTTTTCTTAAGGCAAAATCAGTTATAACTTTATGAATAGCAATATTTTCAGTTCATTTAAATTTATTTTATTTTTATAGATAGTGAAAGCATCTGTATCTTATTTGAAAGTGCCTGTCATTCTCTTATTTATTAAAATTGCTTTAGTGTGGTTTTTATATTTAGTCTTGGTTTTTACTTGTGTTTAGCCATATTTCTACACATAGGGAATGGTGCAGGAGCTACACCACTGTAATTAGTAGTGGGCAATGTGACCAAGTTTTTTTAATCTTATATTTCAATATAATTTCAATGCAATTACTCTATTGAGTAATTAATAACTTTAATGTTTAGACATAAGTGAATATAATTAGCCCAAAATATAACAACATAATGTGAAAATGATGTTTAGACTTCACTTACTGAGTCCTGAAGCCCTAATATTAATACTTATAATTTCCTGCTGTAAATTTTTATGAAAACTAAATAAGAGTATCATAATAATTTCTGTTATTTACTGTAGCCCAGATGATTGTAAATTTGAGGAGGAAATGATGTACCTTAGATGTGTCATTGGACTTGCACTTGTTTTTTATCAAAATGATAGGGAATCAATTAATATTTTAATAGTTACAAAAGAAAGTGAAGAGTGAAATAGCTTGGATATTATTCATATATAGTGTGTATATGTGTGTGCACATATGTATATGTAGGTATATATACATGTATATAAAATTATCTGGCCATCTGGATCATATATATATGTATAATGTCTGGCACATTGCACATAGCAGGCACATAGTATGTGCTCAAAAATATTTATTGTATTGAATTGAGAGCTTGGGAAGGAATAGTTTAAGGGAATAAATTAACAGTTTGCTTTCCTAAACTGGAATTATTTTATTATATTTTATTTTTGCTTTTGGATGATTTTTCTCAGTTGGCAAAAAAAACTATTGTCAAATGGTAATAAAAGTCAATAACTGTAATGAATATTCCTTTTATTATGCTGTGATATGTTTTCCTGCATTTTGGGTAACTGTTTAAAGATAATTTTTCTTTGGTAATTCTTTTATCTACCAGCTTTTATACTTTTTAGATTTTTCATTTTTATTCGCCATTGGAAAGACTACTTTTTTTATATGGAGATGTCCCACCAGAAAAGATTGTTTTCCTGGTTTTTTGCAGTTCATTTTGAAAGAAGCAACTCCAGGTTTATTTTTGATTTGAATACAGCTAGTGTAGCATGAGAAAATCCTTTTGAAGTGCTTTCAGAAGGATTAGGTCAGGGTTAGGTGTAGTTTTTTTTTTACATAAAGTAAATTTAGAGTTGCTATTTTAAAAAATTGTGCCAATTTGTTAGCAAACACAGGTCAAAGGTACCTTTACACTGGTGACTTTCACCTCAGAAACAGTGGGTGATCTTCACCAGTCACCCTCTTTCTGCTTTTCTGCCAAGGAAGGGATCATGGCTTGGTCTCAGGGAAGAAAGGAAGGAGTCCCAGTTTCTTCCTGGTACTTTTGTTTACTAATGTACTAAGGGCTATTTTATTAAATAGCATTATAAGTCAACTTGAATATATTACATATATTTAATATATGCATTCATGTATAATATTAATATAATATATATGTATATCTTAAAATAGATGTATATATCTAAATATTATATGTAAATATACATGTGTATAAAATTAGTCTTATATATTAACATTTTAAGTGGAAAATGATTTTTTCTTTCATTAAATTGGAATGTCAAGTACATGGCTGACATAATTTCCTTCTAGAAAATAAGAACCTGGCTAGACACAGTGGCTCATGCCTGTAATCCCAACACTTTGGGAGGTCAAGGCAGGAGGATCGCTTGAGCCCAGGAGTTCAAGACCAGCCTGGGCAACATGACAAAACCCCGTCTCTACAAAAAAAATACAGAAATTAGCCTGGCATGGTGACACAGACGTGTAGTCCCAGCTACTTGGGAGACTGAGGCATGAGAATCTCTTGAGCCGGGGAGGTTAAGGCTGAAGTGAACTGTAATCTCACCAGCCTGGGTGACACTAAGACAATGAGACCCTGTCTCAAAAAAAAAAAAAGAAGAAGAAGAGAAAAGAAAAGAAGGGCCAAACTGTTACTTTTTTGAGCCTTTCTTTCTTTAGAAATCATAACATTTGGGTGGTCATAGCATATTAAAGGATTCCTTTTATATGTATACCAAGCAAAGGAATATAGGTCTACATTAGTCTTTTTAGTTATGTTCTCTCCACAAACATTATAAGACCATCATATTTAAATGTCCCAATATAGCATTTTATAGTATGTGCAGTAGAATAGATGCCATAGAATTACCAGCTTTGCAAAACAAGGAACTGCCAAATATCCAAAATGTTTTGAGTTTATTACCTTCGTTAACATAGCTCTTGTGATACAGCTCTGAACAAAACATAGAAACATTCTCTTGGATGATAGTTCATTTAGGTGGGTTTGTAAGTCATTGAGCACCATTCCTGGGATGTCTTTCCTACAGATACAGTAAACATTGTAGTCCTCCAGTAGTCAGATACTAAAAACAGTCAACTCCCAGCTGAGTGAGGGGGAAGAGCGGAATTAGGAAGCCACTTTCAAAATCTGTACAGTGATATCAGACCCTTGATATTTGTAGGGACAAATCTACAATCTTCACAAGTGAAGGCAAAAACAATGAATTTCTCCTAGTAAGTGTAGTAAGGTATAACGGGTCCCTTCAACCTCTGGAATGTTTATAAACTTAGAATAAAAATTATTTGTGAAGCCAGTGAAATAAATCCTACTACTAAGATAAACTCAGTGTATTTCATCCCAGTGGAGTGACATTTCAGGAGGGGGTTATGTTCCAAGTTCAGCCTAAAAGGTTGAATATTGCATGTGACCAAATTACTTTAAAAAAATCTCATAAATTCCTCATAATTTAATGGTCTACATGGATTTGTCTGTATTGATTTTATGTGCATTTAGAGCCATATATTCCTGCCACATTGGAGACATTCATACCCTATCTCAAAGATTTTAACCCCTATCACTTTACTTTCATTGTTGGGATAGATTGCTGTTGAATCAAATGGGGAGTCGATAAACAAGTTGACTTGTGTTTGGCAATGTTTGTGCTTTGTATGAAAAATATACGTGTTTCTTAGATGAAATTACCACATAGTGTTGTCAGATGGTCATACTATGAAAGGTACACATGTACTGTGACCGACCAAGGGCTCAGTGGAGTCATGTCTCACTCTTCATGCTCACTCCAAGGCATTCACTCATTGAGTTGAATGGTGGATGGAGTCACCCATACTTCTTCCATTTATCTCTTTCTGTTACATGTTGCAACTCTACTATATGTTCCTATTGCAGTAACTATGAACCATCTGATTTTATGATGGTAATGTTTGAAGACAAGGATGAAATGTACCACATAGCAGGGTGATAAGAGATTGCATCTCTTGAGAGCCATTTACATCAAACTCAAGAGCAGAAACAGGGGACCTTAAAAGTAAGAAATGAAGGATACAACCTGGGCAAGAGACAGGTGTGCTTCTGAAGTGGTAGGTTTTTAACATTGTGATTGATGGCTGTCTTTTATAGTTCAGCTCTTGATACATTTTCTGGTATTGAACCAATGCAAAACTTATTGTCAGACAATTTTAAAACTCCACACCATTGACAGATGATAACTGGTGTGGTCAACAATTAGGAGATTTATATATTTGACTCCTTCATTATTTTAAGACTTTTCTATTTATTTCAACATTGTCTTTTTTCACTTCATCTCTTTTTACTCACAATTTCGGGTTGTCTTTATCCATTTCAATCTGTAATCTGAATCTACCTCTCCCAGTTACTCTTGGCGATATTCACATTACCCTAACAACTCTTTTGCAATGCATCGTTTGAAAAATGTTTCACCTCTCTTTTATAGCTTTCCAACAATCACATCTTATTTCAGATTTTTCCCTCATCCAGGGCTATCTTAATGTTCCTTTACACCTTTTATGTCTGCTCCTAGCATCAGCAGACATAAAAAGTCAAGATCTCTATCTATGTATGCAAATATGTCAGCATACAATACCTTGAACATTGTTAATATTTTACTCATTTAGAACACTGAAAAAGCATGATAGGATTAGGGGCAGAAAAGGCCCTATATTATTTTAAAGAAAAAAAATTGCAGATTTAATGAATGGCCTGATATTTTGTCTATGATGATTAGAAACTTACATTCATAAGAGTGCAAAGCAATTTTTTTTCCATTTTTAGCAAACATAAAGTCTTTATTAAACCTGTCCCAAAAAAGTAGAGATATCACCTGAACTCATTTTTGTAAACTGACCGCAGAGTTGTAATGATTCTTTTGCCACTGAATCTCCTGGCATGACAGAACAGTGGTGTAAACTTGGCTTAGTCAAAAAGTCTGCCGTATTGTCGCAATGTAATACAGTCAGCTTTATATCAGATGTCTGAAATTCTTCTCTTCTTTAGACACATACTTTTAGAAAGGCACTTCTTTCTTGCCATAGTTCCATTTCATCTGTTTTGAACACTTGTTTTGGCTGAGAGCTACGTTAGCTCTGAGGAAGTGCTTCTGAATTTAAGTGATCAGTTGATGCCACTTCTGTTAACATTATGCAAAGAAAAAAAAAGTTTCTTAAAATTCCTTAAAGAATATTTGCTTAGAGTAAGGATTGATTAAATAGCCACATTGGAAGCAATTGGAAAACTGAAAAGTTCCACAAAAATGTTGCATATTTTATTGGGAAGGCTGAAAGGTTAAGTTGCACGTTGATTCTTAGGCTGGCGTGGAGTTCATCATGTTGTAAAAGGTGTAGACAGTGGGACTTGAGGCTAAGCAAATCCAAACCTCAGGACGTCTTCAAGTCACTAGCCCTAAAGTCTCCTGCAGAAATGCTTCTTCAGAGTGAACCAGGCCCAGGGCTTTGCACATTGAGATCCTTGTGTTTGGTAGCATGATACTTGACCCATGTCATCTGGGTTGTATCTTCTCCTTTGTCTCTGTGCTATTTGTGTCTTCCACCTATGTCACATTATAGGCCAAGAGGTTTTAGAAGGCAGACTGTGTCATTTCCTCTTTATTTTCTCTTGTATCTAGGATTGTTTAGGGAGACAATATGGTGTAGTAGAAAGATTATAGGACTTGAAATCAGACTAACTCCGTTTTGAATCTCAGCTCTGCCACTGTATAATCTTATGTAAGTTACTTAACATCTGTGAGCTTCAGTTTTCTCATCTGTAAAACAGGAATAGGATACTTATTTTTATATGGTTGTCATGAACACAGAATGGAATTTTAAAATATAAAATGCTAAGACAGTGCTTGGTACATGGTAAGCACTCAAAAGTGATAGCTGGTATCAGTGTTACTATTAAGTCCACAGTGAAAGCATGAAGTCAGCGTTATGTGCAATCAACAATGGTAACCGTGAACAGGATTTCTAGAATGGTATCAGCAACCTTCTGCATCTGCTACAGTGAAGAGGATAATCATTTTTGGCTGTTTCTAAAATGAGTTTCTACTTATAATATCCTTTTGTTCACATAGGCTGGTTCCCCAAGTGTCTAGCTTGGAGAATGAGTCTTAGAAATAAATTTTGCTATATTCTAGACCAGTGCTATGCCAAAAAATTTTCTGTGATGATGAAAATATTTTATACCTGCACTTTCCAATATGGTAGCCATGGAATCACCATGTGGATACCAAGCACTTATACTGTGATTAATGCAAGTAAGGAACTAAATTCTTTATTTTAATTAGCTTAAATTTAAATAGCCAAAGCAAGCTAGTGCAGCTCTAGACAAAAATTTACTAATGATTTGACAAAATCAATCTTAACATCTATAAGTTAATAAAAGTATGAACTAGTAAATACTAAATTTCCAATGAGTTCATATTTTACACACACCGAACTTTATAGAAATGATTATTTTCTCCCAAGTGATAGATTATATGTTTCAATTTTCAGTATTATATACTACCTTACTTTTGGAAATATATTCTTTGAATTCATCCATTGGCTTCTGAGTGATAAATTCACATTGTCAAAATTTGTCAGCCTCAAATCCACCAGTTCCTTCTTTTAACTTGCGAGGATTTTTGGATCTAGTCTTCTTACTGTTCTGTAATTTTTCTTCTCCCCATTCTCATCTTCTGTTACACAAACAAGTCACCCTATATTAAAGATGGCGAAATAATTTTTAAGTCACATAATGTTTACTAGCAGGAATAAATCACTACCATTGAGGTATTATAGTTTATGCTTCTTTTTCTTTCCAGGCAAATTTATCCTTTTGAATTAAGATGTTATATAATTTTTCAAATAGGTTTTGCATTCATTTCTTTGGATATTTTTTCTTAGGAAATCAGGAAAAATGTATAGTAGAGTTTCTTTTAATGAAACTTTTTATTTGGTTCTACTTAATTTATGTAAAAAATATATTTTAATTATCTGAAATACAGAATGCTTCTCAAATTGTAGGATTGTGAAATCAATTTTATAGATTGAAGCAAGAAATGTTTTTTTTTAAGAAGTGGAATTGGACAGGCATAGTGGCTAATGCCTATAATCCCAACACTTTGAGAGGCTGAGGTGGGAGGATTGCTTGAACTCAGGAGTTCAAGACCAGCCTGCGCCATATAGCGAGACTTTGTCTCTACTAACAATTAAAAAAAAATTATCTGGGTATGGTGACACATGCCTGTAGTCCCAGCTACTTGGGAACCATATCTATATCTATATCTATATCTATATCTATATCTATATCTATATCTATATCTATCTATATATATATCTTAATATATATATAAGATAAGATAAAATAAAAGTAGAATAAAATAAGATGGAATAGGAAATGTCAGAGCACATCACACATAGTAAGAGTTAATATTATTTCTTGAAATGCTTCTTACATTTATATGTGTGTGTGTCTCTGAATTGTGATTTAAAATGGATTTTTTACTATGGATCTTGGCCAAAAAAATGTTTGAAAGCAACTGCATAATTTATTGTACGATGTGGTGAAGGCAGTGAAGTCAGAAGATCTGGTTCAAGGCTTGAGTGTACTGCTTTAGACAATTTTCAATGTCTTCAACCCAAAATTTCTTATATGTGTAAACAGAGATACCTGCCCTATATGTTTCATGCAGTTGTTTCAAATATCAAATAGAATTCTAAGGTGATGTATAGTTGTAACACTCCTTATTCCTTTCAAGTAATAATTTTATATTGACAAAACTCAGTGGCTTGCACCAACAATCATGTATATTTATATTTATGAGTCTGCAGGTCAGGTACGCTTTGGCTGATCTGTGCTGTATTTGACTGGGTGTTTCTGCTTCAGGTCGTGGGTTGTGCATTGTCTGGGCCATGGTTGGGGTTTGGATCTGATCTCCATGTATTCTTTCTGTGGTCTAAGCCAAAGGGGCAGCGGCTACCCAGTGCATACACTTCTCATGGTTAATCACCAGAACATGAGCTAAACATAAATCTATTTATGATTTTTGCTTACATTATAGCCATGCAAATTCCACTGGCCAAATGAAATTATATGGCTAAGCCCAAAGTCCCTGGGGAGACATAAGGTATTCCACTCTCAGTGGAAGGGAGATGGGAGTGAATATTTGCTGAACAACAGTCTAAATAAACTATCATATTACCCCAAAACTTATTAAACCCACACGTTTATTAACTGCCTCATTCTTAAATATAAAAGGATAGCCAAGTATTATCCTGTATTTGAGGAAAACCTACAACATAATGGAAAGTCCAAATCAGACAAACAAGAAAGGAATGTGGAGGAAACTGAGGCAACATATAATAAGCAAAGGAAAACATTTAAATACTGTATATTCTAATAGGTAAAATATTATATTCATAGATTAAAATTAGCATGCTATGTAAAAAAGTGTCCGTAAAAACAAGAAATAGCTCATAGAAATACAAAATGGGTAGAAAATTTTCTTAACGTTCAAAATGAGGTGTCATCAGTCAAAGAAATCTTCCAGAAGTTACAATCAGAAGACAGAGATGGAAAATATAAGAAAATGAGATAATCAATCCAACAACTAATGTCCTGGAGCTAAAGTGTATGGCATTAAAATATTTTAAAATAGTAGAAGAAAACATCCTCAAACTGAAAAAAATAAGCCTTCAGATTGAAAAGGACTCACTGAAAACTGCGCACAAGGAATGAAAAACAGCTCCATTCCAAGATTCAGCATTGCAAAATTTCAAAATGACAAGGAAAAAGAGATGACTGTAAAAGTTTCCAGAAAGAAAAAAATGTAAATCATAGACCAAGTACTAAGAATCAGGATGGCCTAGGGATTTTCAGTTGTACTATTAGGATCTAGAAGACAGTGGAATAGTTCTTAAAAATCCTGAATGAAAACTAATTTCAAAATAGAGTTTTATACCCAGCCAAACAATCAAGTGTACACATACAATAATAGCATTTTCAGGCAGGCGAATACTCGAAAATGTGTTTTTCGTGTACCTTTTCTTATTAAAGCTACCTGGAGATTGTACTTCGACCAAAAAAGGGAATAAATTGAGAAACATGATGACTTATGACACAGAAAACAGAGAACCCTAAAAGAGCATAGGGAAGGCTTGACAGAAGATAGAGATCAACCAGGCCATACATAAGGTGCCAAGAAGGATATATCCAGTTCTTAAAAGAACATACACTTTATCTAATATGTTCATTTAAAAAAAATTATTGATGATTGTTTAACAGATATGTTTGAATATTTGGGGGAAAATGTCAGTTATCTAGAAAAACAAACTATTAAAAAACTAGACAATTCTAGAAATAATAAAATGATACATAAGAAAATTAATTTAAACAAGATAATGCTTGTCTCAGCAGTGAGCAAATTTTTCATAATCATTATAATGTAAATGAACTACTGACTAATGCTTTAACCAAAATCATTATATGGGAGCATGAGGTGGGTATGTAGGGTGGGTGGTGCGAGACCTAAATTGTCACCCTTCTTCACGTAAGAAAGGTCTAATATTGAAAACTTAAGAAATAGCAGTATAAGTTTGTCTTTTAAAAATGTGAAGATAAACATCAGAAGAACTAATGGTGCATGCCATTGGAGATTAGGTTTGAAATCGGGGAGGTAGACCATGGGCACTGCTGTTCCTTGTTATGAGCCATTTAATACTATGTAACTTAAATTAGGTGCATTACTTTGATGGGCAAATTTAATCAACAATAAAAAGAAAGTTAACATATGCCCATGATTAAGAAAAAAACTTCCTACAGTGTGGAGGGATATAAATGAACAGCATCAAGTCTCCCTTTTCCAAATTCGATCCCCAGTACTGTTTTCTTGCAGTGACCACTTTTAACAGTTTCTACTTTGAGTTGTTCTGGTGGTTATAGTCATGACTTGAAAGATACCTTTTGATAAGGTGTAAAGCTATCTGGACCTGCCTTTGCCCAGTTAGCCAAAAGATGGCCACATCAAACTGCACTGTAGACATGCAGGTTAATAGTGTGCTTTGAGAGTAATGTACAATTGGCCTATGGCTGTTGTTGGTCTTTCATCCCCAAGCTACTATATACAGCCAGGGAAGCAGCCCTGACCTAGTTGGGTGAGGCAAAGGGTTATCCTGCCAGTGGGAGCATGGCATTTCTGGCAAGAGATTTCTCTTCTAACGGTTGGACTTGGTGCCATGGCAGATTTTCCTGACTCAGGGAGTAAGTGTTGAGCCCTGGTCCAGCTGGTTAGATTATTTGTTGATTTTGATTATCTGCACCAATAAGCTCTTTCACTGGCATGGATAATCAGAAGCAGGCAGTAATTTTCCATCTTCCTAACAAAAATGCATTTCACATTTTGAAATTACAATAGATGAAGTTTTATTCAGTTTTCACCAAAATACTGCTTCATTGAGAAGGGGGAACTTTTATGAATTAAATTGAGAACTCTTTAGAGATAGTCATATATTCTTAGGTGGGTCATTTTTTCTTGTCACTTTGCTGTTCTTGAAAGACAGAGGGAAAAATCAGTAATAATGATATTTGCTGTCTTTTAGTCAGATTTTACTATGTGCTAGGCACTCTGCTAAGTATTCCTAGCCTAATTTAATCTTCACAACAGCTTTAGAAGCTTGTTATCACTCCGATTTTAGGAGGAAGAAACTGTATGATAGTCTAATGACTTGTCCAAGGTCACAGAAAAGTGCCAGAGCTGTGTCTGGAGCCCTGATTTGCGTTGGCTGTTAGACCCATGTTCTTTACCTCTGTGTTTGGACTGTTTTGGCAACGCAACCCTTGACTTTTTATTACATGAGGAAAAGAAAGCAGCTAATTTGTACTTAAAACCTAATTACCAGTGTAAGGTACATATGTTGTTATTGTTGCATAGTGCTTACAAAAATTGTATCTTTTCTTTTTAAAAAAGTTTTGAATTTTATACATTTTCTATTCTGTCATTCTTTTGTCTTCTCTCAATTCAAAATTCCGGAGTAATCTTTGGTCTTCTGATTCCTCTCCTTTTATTTCCATAAAATCACCATTTTCTCTTTATATTTCTGTTTTAAGTCCCTCCACTCCTCATGTCTGGAATACTGCAATTATCTTTTCATGGTCTCCCTTCCGCCATTCTTTGCCACCTTAAACTGATTGTACACATTGATCCAGTTTTCTCAAGCTCAACCTCTGTCATATTGCATACCTGTTTAAACCATTAATGTCACCCTATTATCTATAAGAAAAATGTAGCGTTATTAATCTACAATTAAAGAGCTTTCATAATGTGATCTAAAGTATCACTCCGGAGCTTTTGTGCCCTTACTTCTTTCTCACTTTTCTTGCTCATGCTAATATATCCCTCATCTGGCTACTGAGGCATGAATTTTCTCTATAACTCAGTTGGTGTTTTTATATGCTTTGCATTTTGATAGTCTTCTTGTGTATCTATGTCTCATTTACCCAGATGAATTATTAACTACTGAGTTTAGAGATGGGAACTCTGAATTCATCATATTATTTAGTATAGTTTCTTACATATAGGACTGTGTAAGAAAATTAATGAATAAATTTTTGAAGTTTTAAAGTTAACCTATAATTCCAATTCTGTATTTCTTTGCTTTTGTTAATTTTATAAATGTTAAACAATACAAATTTAATAGTCTTTATTATTTTTATCTCTTTAATTATATTTAATTATGAAATTGGAAATATATGGGTATAACTTTAATAACACAGTATTTTAAAGAAATAAGTCAGTTTAACTTAGTATTCCAATTTGAAAGATACAGAAAATCTACAGTGAATGAAAATGATACAATTATTTCACAGTTTTTCAAATAAGCCAATATTTGAGAACTGTACTAAGTTATTATATTGTTGGTTAATGTATGGTTTTGATGGAGATAAACTGAATATTTATACTGTTATGAATTCAAGAAAAAATGTAAATGAATTATTTAATTTATCTTCCATGATGTATCAAATGTAGTTGGAGATTGTTCAGAATATTGAATAAGGACATGAGGAAATTTGGAAGTTTATTTAAATACTAAATTTAAATCCCTCTACTTACACATGATTTTGTTTTCCAAAAGGAGGTTGCAATTTTTTCTGTATCAAATTTGCTTCTTGCTTTCTGCTGAATTTGAAAATGTTTCTGCCCTTTCTTTTTTTTTTTCTTGTTTTAATAGCCTAAATATTTTTAAAGGTTCATCTTTTATTTTCTTTGGCTTAATTTTACAGATGTTCTATTGATAAATAAATATTTCTACTTTAATATATAAATTATTTAAAATTATGGCCTATATAAGATATTTTTGCTTTGAAATATTTGAGTTTCAGTAAGATAAGGATAATTTCATCCCGAAACCAAAAAATAAACCTTCATAAATTTTATATATTCATATTTGTCTTAGAGTGTTCTTGTTGACTTTTTAAATTGCAAATTTAAATGGAAATATTATTTTAGCTCAGAAATCTCATACACTCTCAATGCTTAAATTTCTCATGCTTTTTTTTTTCCTGGATTATTTTTTCCAAGTAATATTGAACATCATAATCATGCCATTTTTTACACCTCACATTTTTCGAAAATCTCTCTTATTTATTTTACCTTTAATTTGGGTTTTGAAACACCCAAATGAAGCCATAAATTTATCTTTTAGAATAAAAAGTACATACTTGATGTAAATCACTGCATGTGTCTGATTGAATCTCACACAAAAATGTTACTTTTTAAAGGCAGTGGTATTTTAAGTAAATATTACTTTTTAAAGGGAACGACTCTTAGAATGAAAGTGCAATTATCCACTTTGACTACTCTCATTTAATCATTTCATTTTTAAAATTAGATTTCATTTTACAATCCAAAATAAAACCTCATTCATGTGCATTTTTGGATGTGCTAATTCCTTTTGTCATAAAATGGAAGCTAGCCTAAATTTTCTAATAATTTTTTATCAAATTGAAATTCATGGCAAAAAATAAAAATGAGCTAATTTTGAATTCAAGTGCATGTATTTTATATGGATGCTTTTTCCCCTTCTCTCTACCTAAGGAAATAGAGAAATTGAGAATAGAACTGGATGAAAGCAAACAACACTTGGAACAGGAGCAGCAGAAGGCAGCCCTGGCCAGAGAGGAGTGCCTGAGACTAACAGAACTGCTGGGCGAATCTGAGCACCAACTGCACCTCACCAGGTACTCCCTAATCCCATTATGCGCCATAGCACCGATTTCATTCCACTGATTTTTGCCACAGGCTTCCAAACAGTTGTTAGAGTTAGTCTTAGTCATTCAATTCACACTTAGCTTTCAGGCATATTAAGAAAAGTGGAGATGTGGTAAGCAAAACACCCAGACATGTGAATGATAAGTGTGGCAGGGAATTACTGATAGATTACAAAACCTTTCATCTACAATGCTCAAATATTTAGGTGATTCTCTATCAATATAAGCGAAATGACATATTTCTCCTACCACCACTACTACCTCTTCTGCTAATTCTACGTCTAATAAAAATCTTGAACTGAAGGATGTGAGGAATTCATTTAGGAAAATAATAAAATACTGTCAGTGGTGAGAGAGACAAAGTAAATAAATTGTAAGATGCAAATTGAAATGGAACTGATACAAAATAAGGAATCTGCATCCTAAGGAGGTGTAAAATTTTGAGATGAAATAGATTGGCACTGCTCATGTTCAAATCATTATTATAACCAGGCTTACACCATTGAGGTTTCAAATTACTTCATTTCCATCATGAGATTTTGTGATGTGATCATCATTGTCATCAACTTTAGTAAATATGTAGCTCGGCCCTAAATTACAGTAAGACTCTTTAGGTTGTAAGCATTGTGAATTTGCTGCATTGGAAAAAAACATACACACACATACACACACACATAAATACACACATGGAAAGAAAAATTCAAAAGAGAAAGTAGATATTTCACTTTATCATATGTGGTTTCTTTTCACTTTGAGTTTTATTACGATTTTGCAGTGTTCACATCAAGCCTTTGGGGTTGCTCAGTTCTTAAAGTTTTTCAGTTTTTAGAGAGAACTTTGTTTAAATAAACATGTAAGTTCATGATATTTGGTTTGGTTTATAAATTAGAAAAACATTGGTCTTCCAATCATAGTAATATGTTGAATTTAAACTATGAAAGGGGACTGATCCCTTTTACATTAAATATGACAATGTAATTCTGAGCACGGTATGCTAACAGATGGAGAAAAGCACCACTTGAACAGCCTGCGTTTGGAGAAAAAAATATTCTAGAGGTTGGTGAACCTCCCAAAGTTTTGGGTGAGTGTTAAGATGCCTCTGGTTCTGTTAAAATCAAACCTTGTATAAAACATTTTGTTATGATAATATTCCAAATGATTTGACATCTTCCCTTTTAAACAATAAAAGAAAGAGGAAAGAAAGAGAAAGCAAAGAAAGAAAATAAATTATTAATACATGTCTGGTATCTAGAAAAAAATCCTAATAGATGAAACACATATATGAGAAAAAAATTGCTTAATATTGCAGAATAATAACTGTTCTTTTAATGCTCATTTAAACTATTGTCATTGTAGAACTGAGAACATAACGTTAGCATAATTCCTGTGGCTATTTAATCTTAGAAGTTTCAGAATTTAGCTTCATCATGGTAATGTTAATAGTTTTTCTTTTCTGTCAGACTTCTATTCAGAACCAACCATTTGTGTGCTAAGCACTGCTAAACCTCAGAAATAGGACAGCTTTTAATGTCTCAGTGTGGCTGAGCTTCAGTAAATAAATATTAATGCTGGTTTTGCCCCTTTTGCCATTCTGTCTTATTCAGAGAGTTAATTTCTGAAGTCAAAGTCCGTAGAGAGTTTTCCCGTATAGTATCAATTTATAGTGTTTGACAAGATCAATTTCTTGCAAGTAGAGCATATTAAGATGCAGCAACTGCTGAAAATGGACGAGTGGTAACTAATTCCTTTGTTCTTAAGAAAAACGGTTTTGCTTGGTTCCATAGAAAGCTTTTTTTTTTTGTTGAGCTTTATTTAAACCAATTCTACTAAAATTTAAACGTAGTTTTACAGGAAATAAAAATTATTTTCTAAGTGCGGTACTCTTTTGTAAGCATTTTATGCTTAGTCTATATTCATGTTTTATAAAATCCACATTCATAAATTTAAAGATGACAATTAGAAATGCAAGGAACTGTGTATATCTCCCCTTTGCACTGACAATGTGATTTGGTTGTTGGGCTATTTCTGATATATAGTACTTTTTTGTTTTTTTGGTTTTTTTTTGAAGTTTGCCACCCCTCACCATACTTTATTGATTCAGTATACTCAGGTGTGTGACTGAGAAATGTTGTGTCGTTCTTTTTCAGTGTAGATCAGCTGAAATACATAACTCCCACGCAGATAACACCTTACCACACAGTCTCAACTTAAACACTTCAAATGGCATATTCTAAACAAAGTTTAAAATTGAATATGAAAACCGTGTTTAAAGTAATGATGAAATAAGGATCCAAATCTTTAGAGGCAAAGAAAATTTAAAAACTGTAGTAGAGATCTGTACATCAACCTAAAAGAAAAATAGCCTACCACTTTTTTGGTGTTTCTCCTTATGGGATTTTAAAACGGTAAATAGAGGCCAGGCGCAGTGCTCACACCTGTCATTCCAACACTGTGGGAGGCCAAGACAGGGGAATCACTTGAGGCTAAGAGTTCGTGATCATCCTGAGCAACACAATGAGACCCCATCTCTACAAAAAAACAAAAAATATTAGTCAGGCATGGTGGTGCACCTATAGACCCAGCTATTTAGGAGGCTGAGGATGGAGGATCACTTGAACTCTGAGGTTCAAGCCTGCTGTGAGCTGTGATTGCGCCGCTACACTCCAACTTGGGTGACAGAGTAAGACCCTGTCTCTAAAAAAAAAAAATGGAAAATAGAAATTTAGCATTAATTAAAGGACCCAAATGGGTGAGTGTAACATTCACTTAGTCAACAAATATTTACTGAGCACCTACTATGTTTTAAGTACTTTGCTTGGTCCTAGGCATAGAGAGAAAAAATAAAACTCAGTTTCTACCCTTAGATTGCGCATACTCTAGTAAAGAAGCTACATCTGTATATGCAAATGTAATAGACTGTGACAACAGTGCAATGATAAAAGTGATGATTACCACAGGAGCACATAGGGAGGGGGATTGGCCCATTCTACACCATAGGTGAAGGCGATAGTCAAAGAAAGCTGATATCAGGGAAAGCTGACAGTGAAAAGGGATAGTCAGGGAGGTGGAGATATTTGGCAGCAATCTTGATTAGTGAGTTCATGAGTAAGAATTCTGAAAGTGGAAGAAAGTGGGTTGGGTACCCCAGGTAGAGAGACCAATATATACAGAGACATAAAGATGGGAGAAAACAGAAACTCTACTATCAGATTAGGTGTTTGGTAGGAGATAAGACTGGAAAGGGGAGCAGGGACCAGCAGAAGAGCCTTATGGGCCATCTCCGGAGTTTCGCCCATTCTGAGTTACTCTTAATGCATTTTAGGCAGGAGCGTCAACATGATTGACTTTCTGGGTTGGGAGCTGGACTCAGAGAGCAGTGTGGAAAGTGAGCTTTGAGAGTTGATCTAGGAGACAGGAAGACCAGTTAGCCCAAGGTCAGCAATTGCAACCCATGGGTCAAGTCTGACCCATCATCTGTTTTTGTGTGACCATTAACTAAGAATGGTTTTTATATTTTTAAGTGGATGAAAAAAAGGGGAAACAATATTTTTTGACACATAAAGATTATACATCTATAAATAAAGTTTGATTGGAAAATGCTACCATTATCCTTCATTTATTATGTATGGCACTACCACACTTGAGTTGAATATGGTCCTCAAAGCCTAAAATATCTACTATCTGTCCCTTTACAGAAAAGTGTACCAACTCCTCAGGAGGCTGTTTAGTTCAAGTAAGAAGTCAAGAGGGCTTGAATAATGACAGATTCAAATATGTATTTAAAGAAGGTAATTGAAGAGCTTTGTGAAAAATGGATGGGTTGAGAAGAGATGACTGGCAGGGACCCCAGTTAGAATATAAGCACCATAGTCCAGGGGGAGAGTAATGAAGCCCTTGGCTGTGGCTGTCCCGTGAAGTGGAAAGGAAGTAGTATCTTCAGAAGGTATTTGGAGTCATGAATAAGAGAGGACACAATTAAAGGTGACTGTAAGTTTTCTAGCCCAAATTGACTAGAGGATCTGTTAAGCCAACTGAGGAACTTAAAAGAGGTAGCAGAGGAAAAGAATACTTTTCATTGTGCAACCCCAGTGGAGATGTCCAATGTTGGCTTGGTGTGAGGAGAAGGTCATGACTAGAGGCTTAGATCTGGATCCCTTTTACATAAAGGTATTCATTGTAGCTAAGGGAGTGGTTAAAAGCACATAGAAAGGATCATGTTTTAAAGAACAATGGAAGAACAGCCACCAGCCGATAAGACTGAAATGGGGTCTTCGAATATATAAGAAAAGAATAAAGAAGAATGATTCGAAGAGTATTTTCAGGGGGCAGTAACAATTAAAACCATATACTTTTCTTAGGGGAGGTCCCCAGACAGCCTAGGATTGAAGAAACCTGAATTATAGTATCTTCTGTAGGCATTCACTCCAGGCATTCTTTGCAACTTTTGACAAATTACTTAACTCTTTGGGCCTGCTTATGTACCTATAAAATGAGGTGAGGCTAGATGATTTATAAGTTTCCTTCCAGTTCTGATAATCAATGATTCTAATAATGATTTAAGACAACCCATTATTAAGTTCCTATATCTGGACATTAGGCATTTAAATTGCTTGGATGATCTTTTGTTTAAGGTATTTCCTTAGTTTGAACTTCAGAAAGTTCATTGAAATGACCTTCAGACCCACCACTTAAATTCATTGTAACTTAGGTTCTGCTGACCTCTCACAAAGGTTATCAAAATTGTCTCAACACCCTTCCAGTCTCTTTTGCTGACCATTGCCCGGTGAATATTCATAAGCCTCTGCCTTGACTCTGTTGCTATACTCTGAAAACCTTCCATGGTGCCACTCTATTAGAGAAAGGCAAATGACAACATGGCATGTGAGGTCATCCTGATAGGCTCTCAACCTTCCAGTCTTATTTCATCTAAGATGAAACCCTCTTACCTGCTGATTTCCAGACAAATGTCAGTACACATAGCTCCCCTTTTTCCCTCCATTTGCTGTTCTCTATACCTAGAATACCCCTCTGACCTTCTCTAGCTCTATTATAATCTTACCTTCTTACCAAGGTCTCCCTGAAATCCTGATTTTTCTACCTAGGCCTCCCCATTGATTCTTGTCAGAAAGGAGCGCTTCTCCCCTTGAATCCTTCTTCCCACTTTGAGCTGATGGCATTTGAGTAAATGAATTACTCAAAGGAGGAAAAAGCAAAATGTGGAAAAAAAAAGAATTAATATTTGGAAGTTTTTTGTGTACTTGCTATTTTTTGCTTCTGGAATGTGTTATTCTTCAAGTAGGAGGAGAGGTCTTATCAGTATTATATTTCTCAGAGCCCCTGGCTCATCACTTTGCAGAGTTGGAGCTCAGTAAGTCATTAATGAAAATGGTGACTGTATTCCAAATGTATGACTATTCTTTCAAGCTCAGTACTGCTATACAAATAAATATCTTCTCACAAATATCAGAGTACAAAGTATAAGAAGGTGATAAGGCTAAAATTTTTTATTGAGAATTTTACTTGTCTCTATGATACTATATTATGATTTTGTAATAATCACTTTTTTAAATTTTTAACTTTGTGTAAATATATATGTTTAAGTATATCAGAATCAAATGATAATCATTCTAACAAACAATGCAAGTAGGTTTAGTAAAGTGCACCAGGCCTCTCACTTACATGTACGTGTTTAAAAACCACACACACACACACACACACACACTCACTCTTAAACTAGAGTTCCGCATAATTAAAAGATGACAGTGGAAGCCATGTACTGTGGTGCACACCTGCAGTCCCAGAAACTTGGGAGGCTGAGGTAGGAGGGTCGCTTGAGCCCAGGAGTTCAAGGCCATCCTGGGTAACATAGCATGACCGCATCTCTGGGGGAAAAAAAAATGACAGTATTTGAAACAAGTGCCTCGTAAGCATGTTCACTAAACACGTCTAGCCTAGCATGTATGAAAACAAAGCAAGGCTGCTTTCTTCCAGTTATTACTGTTAATATTATTCAAACAACTTCTTCTTTTTCCATAACAGACTTTCAGGTACATTTAAAAATGTTCATCCATTTATTCACCCGTTCTACATGGAGCATTTTCTGTCATAAGACGCTGTGCTAGGGATGAAGGGAGATAGAAAGATAAAGAGGCCTCAGCTGCTGCCCTTCAGAAGCTTACAGGCTAGCGGGGAAGAGAAGAAAATACATGAGTAGATCGGGTGTGGTGGCTCACACCTGTAATCCCAGGACTTTGGGAGGCTGAGGCGGGCAGGTCACTTGAGCCCCAGGAGTTTGAGACCAGCCTGGGCAACGTGGCGAAACCCCATCTCCACAAAAAATACAAACATTAGCTGGGCATGGTGGTGCGCGCCTATAGTCCCAGCTGCTCTGGAGGCTGAGGTGGGAGGATGGCTTGAGCCCAGGAGGTCAAGGCTGCAGTGAGCTGTGATGGCACTGCTGCACTCCAGCCTGGGCAACAGAGCAAGACCTTGTCTCTAAAATTAAAGAAAAAAGTAAGAAAAAGAACATACACATGTAGTCGGTAAGATAAATGATAAGATCCAGAAGGGAGGTTCTAGAAAAGGATTACAGGGGGAGAGACAGATTACTTCTTACTGATTTTGGTAGGATTTGGATATAGGAAAATGGGAATGAAGGGCATTCCGTGTAGGGGAATCGATGGTATTTGGGAGGTGTGCATGTATGTATAAGAGTAAGTTAAATACAGTACACACAGCGATCAAACAGACACCTAACAAGTATCACCTCGGAGGTTAAGAATATATTCATCTTAGGCCGGGCACGGTGGCTCATGCCTGTAATCCCAGCACTTTGGGAGGCCGAGGCGGGCGGATCACCTGAGGTCAGGAGTTCGAGACCAGCCTGACCAACATGGAGAAACCCCATCTGTACTAAAAATACAAAATTAGCCAGGCATGGTGTTGCAAGCCTGTAATCCCAGCTACTCGGGAGGCCGAGGCTCAAGAATCACTTGAGCCCGGGAGGCAGAGGTTGCAGTGAGCTGAGTTTGCACCATTGTACTCCAGACTGGGCAACAAGAGTGAAGCTCCATCTCAAAAACACCACCACCAACAACAATATATTCGTCTTAGTATCTGCGTGGTACCACGCTACATGTAGCAGCTCTTTAAAAAATAATAGAGTTATAGCTAACAGCAGTGGCTAACATTTGCTGAGCCCCTGCTGTTCCAGGAACCAAGCTGAGAGCTTCTCATATAATCCTACCAATAGCTCTATAAGGTACAGACTCCTATTTTCTGTAATTTACAGCTGAGGCAACTAAGGCACAGAGAAGGAAAGGAGTCTTCTAAGGTTACACAGCTGATATGTTATCGAAGCAGGTTTTGAACCCCAGTAAGTTGCCTGCAAAGCTTGTACCCTTATCCATTAAGCTGTAATTCTATGTAAATTACTAGAGAAATGGATTAATGCAGTTGTTCTGAAAAAGACAACTTAGAAAATCAGTAACATGAATTTATAATAGAAATAAATGTTAGCTTCTTCCGGCCGGGCGCGGTGGCTCACGCCTGTAATCCTAGCACTTTGGGAGGCTAAGGCAGGCAGATCGCGAGAGGTCAGGAGTAATCCCAGCACTTTGGGAGGCCGAGACAGGCGGATCACGAGGTCAGGAGATCAAGACCATCCTGGCTAACATGGTAAAAACCCGTCTCCAGTAAAAATACAAAAAATTAGCTGGGCATGATGGCACACGTCCGTAGTCCCAGCTACTCAGGAGGCTGAGGCAGGAGAATCTCTTGAACCCGGGAAGTGGAGGTTACAGTGAGCCGAGATTGCGCCACTGCACTCCAGCCTGGGTGACAGAGCGAGACTCCATCTCAAAAAAGAAAGAAAGTGAGAGAGAGAGAGAGAGAGAGAAAGAAAGAAAGGAAAGAAGTGTTAGCTGCTCCCTTATGCATGACACGTGACGGTGAATTTTGGCTTGAATTTTTCCTAAGAAACATAGTTTCCCTTGGCCCATTATTTGCCATTGTCATTTAAACATATTATAATGCCATTGTCATTCTACTTTACTCCCTTACTTAATTTTCACCCAAGAAGAAAGAGAGGCTTTTATTAAAAAGTAGAAATTTTTCAAGTATTTATTTTTGACATGTCCAAATATCTGTAAAGAGCTATAGGTATCACCTCGGAGGTTAAGAATGTATTCATCTTAGGCCAGGGGCGGTGGCTTATGCCGCTCATATGACTACCATTTATACACACGTGGTTGGGTTAATTTACGATATGGCTGAATAAAGCAACCACTTCTTACCGTTTATGTGATTCTTATTAACTGCTTACTGAGACATTCTTTTCCATACCTTTTGCCCATGTACTGAAACACATTTTTTTAAATCCTGCATTTTTTTTTTCTTGTATCTGATCTTGAGGGGAACTACTGCAGGAAGCTTTCTTTTGTTTATTATCCAGAGAATTTAGAACTCGGATTGCCCTAAGTACAAAACCTTAAAAATTCTTATTTCTCCTTTTACATAAATGATCTTTTTAATAATATGTATGTACTTCAAAGAATTTCTCAGAGCAGGAATCTAAGTGAGAGTCCACCAAACAGGTATTATACTGTGACCTACTTTTGTGATCCAGATGGGAAGATCTGACCTGTGACCTAGAGAGACAGCAACTTGACCTATAGGATTTGTGTCTTTTTGAAAGTGAGAAAAGGGTACAGCAGAGGAGTCACTAGGTTAACCTGTTATGATGGATAGATCATGTGGGGAGAGTGATAGAGGCTGCCTTTCCAGGGCTTTCAGTTTCCACATAGTAACTAGTACAGTTACTTATTTGTTTCTTTAATTTGAAGCAAGAGTCTTGCTCTGTTGCCCAGCCTGCAGTGCAGTGGTGTGGTCTTGGCTCACTACAACCTCTGCCTCCCAGGTCCAAGCAATTCTCGTGTCTCACCCTCCCAAGTAGCTGGGATTACAGGTAGGCACCACCATGCCTGGCTAATTTTTGTATTTTTAGTAGAGACGGGGTTTCACCATGTTGGCCAGACTGGTCTCAAACTCCTGACCTCTGGTGATCTGCCTGCCTTAGCCTCCCAAAGTGCTAGGATTACAGGTGTGAGCCACTGTGCCCGGCCTCTAGTACAGATATTTTCTTGAAATTAATTGTTTGACCTCCCAGCCTATCCATACGAGTCAGGACTTTTTGGGTGAACTGAAATCCAAAAAGGAGAAATTGATAAATTTTTATAACTAGACCATGTACAATCCAGGTGCAGCTGGACTCAGGGTTTCCTGGAGCCAGCATGCTATCATATTCTAACTTTCCAGAACAGGGCTCAATTTCTATCTGAATTTTGCTAATTCTTTCAGATTCTTTCATACCATGAAGTAAAACATCTTTCATTCTGAAATTGATGATAAAGGAAATACCTTTGATTTCAAACTGTAAGAATGTGACTTCCTAGCTCCTTCACTTCCAATTTCAAAACCTTTGGTTAGGATCACCCTTGGGCACACACACGCACTTTTGGGTGCTGTGGCTGGTAGCCTCTTCAGAACCACATGGAATAAGGGAAGAAAGTTTCACTAAGTAAGGGGAAGTGCTCTTACTAGGGGAAAGGTGTCAGGGATCCTGGGTGAGTAAAACACCAAGTATCTGCACTGTTGCCCTTGTTGTCTTTTTAAAAATATAATCCCTGGTCAGGTGCCATGGCTCATGCCTGTAATCCCAGCACCTTGGGAGGCCAAGGTGGGAGGATCACTTGAGGCCAGGAGGTCAAGACCAGTCTGAGCAACATAATGAGACCCCAGCTCTACCAAAAAAAAAAAAAAAAAATTAAAAAATTAGCCAGGCATGGTTGTGCATGCCTGTAGTCCTAGCTATTTGGGAGGCTACATGGTGGTGCGCGCCTGGGTCCTGGCTACTTGGGAGGCTACGTGGTGGTGCGTGCCTGGGTCCTGGCTATTTGGGAGGCTACATGGTGGTGCATGCCTGAGTCCTGGTTATTTGGGAGGCTACGTGGTGGTGCGTGCCTGAGTCCTGGCTATTTGGGAAGCTACGTGGTGGTGCGTGCCTGAGTCCTGGCTATTTGGGAGGCTACGTGGTGGTGCGTGCCTGAGTCCTGGCTATTTGGGAGGCTACGTGGTGGTGCGTGCCTGTAGTCCTGGCTACTTGGGAAGACTGCTTGAGCCTGGGAGTTTAAGGCTACAGTGAGCTTTGATTGCCATCGCACTCCAGCCTGGGCGACAGAGCGAGACTCTGTCCCCCCTCCCCCCCCCAAAAAAAAAATAATAAATAAAAATGCAAGTCCTGATTTTTCCTCTAAGAAATGGTTTCAAGTGGAGAGAGGGGAGTGAAGTGCACATTTTTGTCCATGTATGTTGGAAAATGATATTCTCCATTGTCAACATGTGATAAGTCCAAAGAGGCATCATCAGTTCTTCACAACAACAGGGTCTCTTTGTTGTTTTACTTAGAAAACTCTTAGAATATAAAAAGAAAGAAGCACAGCTAAATCTCTAGCATGCACATGTATTGTGCTTGGTTTCTGCATAGTGCTGTTCCAGCTGTGGCCCATGATGGCTGCTTGTTAGTGTCTATGGCAAGATAAGTACCGGAATCTACAGAAGTATTTGGCAAATTTTATATCAATTTTAAATTGTCACAATTTTCAAGCGCATGATCAATGAGCTTTTTTTGGGGGAGTATCTTTTAAATTTTTTTCTAGTAATTCATTTTTATTGTGTTTTAAAAAACTATTTGCAAAAGATTAGAAATTAAAACAAATATGCTGATCATTTACCACAAGAAGCTTGAGATGCTATGCTTCTCACTGCTTCCAGCAAGCCTAAGAAAAAACAGTCCTTTATAGATGAGGAAGCCGAGCCTCCGAAGGGGAAGCTTGAGGTTGGGCATCCAGGAGGGAGGAGAGTAGGCAGGGGATGAAGGGCAAAAGCTTGTTTCAAACTGAGATAGAAACACTTTTGGTGTTGTAAAATCTCAGCACCCAGACCAGGAAGCAGGTCTCTTTCATCTCTGTGCCCCCAGCACCAAGTCAGGCACTGGGTGTTTAGCAGATTTTCTATAAACATTGAGTAAAGTTCCCTTTGCTCTTTATTATTGGGAAAATTAAAACAAAAAGTTGGGGGGAACTCATCTTAAGATAACAACAAGCTTAGGTCAAAAAGCCAAACTCATTATCTGTTTATTTGAAGAGGATATTATAACATTGATGTATATTCTTGCTATTTTACAGTGAACTTTATCTTTTTTTTCCTCCTGAGTTTTATTCAAGAATTTTTAGCCTAAAGTTTCCATTTCAAAGTTAAGCTCATTTTTTTCTTGTACTCCTTTCATGAATAAATTAAGCAGAGAATGTGTCAAAAATAATTTTAAATGGATATATGTGCAACCAACATCTTCAAGGCTTGAAATAGATGGCCTTGGTGCTGTTTTAAATTGCGTCCTCTTTTCCTTCCCCCACCCAGTATCAGAGAAAACAGGCTGTCAGAAAGCCAGAAAAGAAAAGGCATTTCATTTTGCTCTGGTGGACACCACACTGCCTGAGCCTGCTCTGCTCCACCTGTTTGAAGGGCTAAGAACCCTGGTCTCAGTGTGGCCCGGGGCGGGAGAGGTTCGAAAGTCAGGCAGTGCCAGGAAATGTGTGTTTGCAGGTTCTGCTTAACGTTCCCTGGCTCGCTCCTCTCAGTTCTGTGAAGCCCAAATGTGAATGCAATGAAAATCTCCACTGGGGATGCACTCATCTCCCCTGCCACATAGGCCCACAGCCTGGAGCATGGTGGCAGCGGCAGCCAACTCATTTCCTGAAGAAGCCCAGAGGAAACCGAGAATGTATTGCCCACACCACTTGCCTGACTCAACAACAATGAGCATCAGGTTCAATGAAAATAGGAAAGAAAAAGCAAAAACATAGAATTGTTCTCATAGTAGCCCTAAGCCAGAGTATGTCTCTAAAAGAAAGTTCTGCTCTCCAATATTATTTTTAAAGTAAAAGGAATATAACAAAAGCCCATCACCTTGATGTTTAATTTCTTCCGGTAAATTTCTAAAATTAATTCACATTCTTTTATATATATTTTTAGAGGCACAGTCTCGCTGTATTGCCCAGCCTGGCTTCAAACTCCTGGGCTCAAGCGGAACTCCCTCCTGAGCCTTTCAAGTAGCTGGGATGACATGTGCGTGCCACTGTGCCCGCCTTTGATATTTAGTTTCTTCTTAAACACCTCCTCCTAGTGAATGTGTTCTTTACATCAGTTGTTAGGCATTACTGCCTTGTTATTTAATGTTTCCGTGATACCCACAAAGTACATCGTGATTTGTTGATTGATAAATCTTGGAATTAAAGCTCATTTTAAGGATCCTGAGCAAGTAAGAGGCTTAGGGAATATTCAGTCTCCTCAGTGCCCTCTCCCAAGCCATGTCTCATGGGAGACCAGGGCCCACTTCAAGTAAACACATTTTTATTATGCTGCAACTCTGTTAGAGCCACCAAGCAAAGGATGCAGTCAGTCTCGGGAGATGAGAGTAGGCACCAAACAGGTCAGAAAATGTTTGGAAGCAGCTTGCCATCTAGCTGAGCTAAGAGTGTGCTCCACCTTGGCTCTGTGTGGCCTCTCCCCAGCAGGCAGGGTCACCTGTGATAGGGCTGAGCATCTCCTGCCTTGACCAAGCCATGGAGGGTAGAGAGAGAGAGCCACAGGCTGCTTGGTTTTCAGAATATCAAAGGGATTCCTTCCCCAGGGTGGGCACCAGTGAATAAGCAGGGCATCCCTTTGACACCTTTCCTGTATCTAACTTCAAGAAGCCTATTCCTGACCAGGAGATTTACCAAAAGAATGAACCCAGTGTTGAGGAAATAACCATTAGAACCATATGAACAAAAGAGGTAAACAAAATAAAGAGCAAGTCACTATTGGAATGTGTGCAGGAGGTGGGGGTGGTAGGCGGTCAAGGTGAAGCATTCAGAGTGGGTTTGGGCAGTGGTTTGGGCAGTGTTCCGGATTTGCCCTTTGCCCAGTAGCTCATCTGAAGTGTGGCTCACCAGGCCTTTGCCTGGTAGCTCATCTGAAGTGTGGCTCACCAGGCTGGACGTTGCTTGAGCTTGACAGTCGTCCTAGTTCTATTTCTGATTATTTTTTGTCACCTTGGGGAAAATCCCCTATTGTACTTGATTTCCTACAGACCTTAACTGTGATTTTATGAGGATATATATGAGTATGCAAAATCATTTTAACTCATTCAGCGTTTTGTAAATCTGAGGCTTATCTATTCAGGTACTCCAATGATTTTAATATGAGTTCAGGTAAAATAAATTAATGAGTAGTCAGTGTATTGATCCGTCTAGAAAACTTTAGAGCAATTAAGGGCATGACCACCTGACTGAAGCTCTTTATGGCAAGGCTATTTGGGGCACAGAGTAATATATTGTTCTTTCTACATCTTAAATGATCCTCTTTGTCTTTAGAAGGCAAACTATCTTGCCATTCCTGATATCAACTCTTTGTCAAAACAATATCTAATGGAAGCAGCTCTGTGCCCTAGGGGCTCTGTAAGTTCTGCTTTGTTACAGTGATGGCAGTTCTCTATTCTTAGCCTATTTCCGAAGTCAGGCATTTGTTCGGAATCATTCACTATTGAATTAGTTAACAACGTTTGGTTTGAGGAAAGATGATAATGATATTAAGGAATAATAAAATCCATCTACAGTGAAAATCGAGCCCAGATCAGAACTGTGGAGGAACCCAAATTCAGATCCTACACTCAAACTGATTTGCACAAAGAATTATCTGTTAAAAGTGGGAAAAAGAATGGCAGCATGCGACAACTCACGTAACTAATCAACTTTTTAGATGCCGTTTCATATGTTTGCTTTTCATTAAATGCAGGAATGGTTGGGACTATGTTGCTGTGATTCAGTCAACATTTATTCCTATCTGTTTTTCATGTACAAAGGCTGAGGGATGCCAGCAAATAAACTGTTAACGGAGAATTAACTTCTTTGGCATGCTTTCATACTTATCTTCCAAATTAAAGAAAATGAAATGGGCAGAAACAGAGTGTAGATTACCTCCTTTTTGTCAAAAATGGTGGGAATTTGAAAATTAATAATAAAAAAGGGAACAGATGCAGTAACATGCCAGAGGGAGATTAATGTGGAGAGTAAAATCTGTGAGCAACAAAACTGAAGCAAACTGAATCAGTGGGAGGTGGTTGTACAATCAAAATCAGGATAAAAGAGAAATTACAAACAACCCTGCACTTGTCAAAGTAGTAGTAATGAAATCCTGACTCTGCCAGCAGTGAGAACCTGTGTTAGCACTTTGGGGTAAGGATGGTAGCCGGGTGCCAGGTAGGAGGGCAGTGTTAGGTTGCTGGGCAGCAGCCATCTTGTGTAGAACAGATGGCACCGAAAGCTGGCAGGGGAGGGGCTCCTTAGCAGAACTAATCAGACAGTAACAGATAGGGCAGCTGGGAAGACTGACCACAGAGAGGGAGTCTGCGGGGTAGCCGAGTGCCATGATGTTTGCAGTGGTGTGCCCATTGGTCTGAGATAAGACCTTGCAATGTCTTTCCCATCTACAGAAGAACTGAAACTTTGTTCAAAAAGGAAAATTGAGTTGAATTGTGTCAAACTTGGAGGGTGGGGGTGGGCATTGGGATAGTGACTGAGAAAGGAAGAATTGTCCATCTCTGAATTTGTCCTGTGAGTTTTCAGTTCCAGCTACCATGGAACCTTGATTTTTGCTGTTTGTATGGTTCTGGCAATCTAATGTATACAGTGTGGCACATGGAATGATCACTTTATACATTTTATGCATCAAAAAGTTTGCAGTATCAAGGCTATAGTTAAAATTAGAAAAGATTTTTTTTATATGCTTTCTACCACATATGTCTTTCACAAAATGAAAAACTAAAAGCAACCATGTGATACAGGCATTTCTACTTAATAATTTTTCATAAGCTCATTTAAGCTGTGTTTGATTCAGAGTCACTTGCCCTTCTTTTTTCCCCCATGTAACTGTGGGTTGAACATCAAAATATAAGCATAATTCAGAGCCAAAAACCTTAAGACAAAAATCAAACCAACTCATTCTGCAAATAAAAGAGAAAACTGACCTGTTAAAATTTGATAACTTATTAAGTAGTCGTGGTTCTTGAAGTATAGAGTTGGGACGTTTGTATTAAAACGACGACTTTAACAAAGAAATCCAGATCTCCTACATCTGCTTTTGAACTTGTCTATTTCTTTTTTTTGCAGAAGGTTTATAACTTGGCTCAATTTATTCATTTTGGAGGGGGAGGGGGAAACATTACAGGATTTGAAATAGGTGGTATAACATAGCCATATGCTATTTATGCAGCAGTTTCTGCAATAAATCTAATTTGGTGCTGTCAAAAAATTAGACTTATTTGATATAGCAGCACATTAGTAAATGATTGTGGCAGATTTAAAGTTGTCATTTAGTCTCTTCTTACTCTTAACAGAATCTCGCAAATTCATTTTCCCCCTTGATCAACTCTATGAAAATATCCCAGTTCTTTGTCCTGCAGCCCTGAAAATATTTCCACATCTGAAAGAAGGTCTTGCCTTAAGGTAATTGAGGAAGGGGGTGGAAAAATGAATATCCTCTGTCGTTAAAAGACTTCATAAATATATAGGCAGAAAAACAAATAAACCAGAGAAAATTACAGTATTTTCATCATTTACAGTTCTTAGAAAAACAGAACTGCAAGTCTCATTCAGAATGTAGATAAATTAAGGTCAGTTCTTTATTAAGGAGTTTAAATATTTTACCTTCCATCCTACGTCCATATGCTGTTTTAGGAAAACTGATTATTAAAGAATGTGAGTGACATCAGCTCTTCGCCTTCACCTAGCAGCGCCCTTAGAAACGGCTTTACTCTTCGGTAGTGTAACCTGGCAACATTGCTTCAATGCCTCTTTTTCTGTTTTTTTTTTTTCCCCTGTAAAATTTGTGTTTCAGGTGTTAGTATCAAACTATCTAAACTTTTTCCTAGTTTTTCTGTTTGAAAGATAAGATAAGCAATGACGCATTAAGCAGGTAAATATTAACGGTGTTCTCTGAGTTCCTGAATTAGTCCATTTATAAAAGTAATGATTTCGTTTCCCGTTTCTTTTTCTTGCGTGTTTATGGAAAAGTGTATGTGTGTATCGCATTTACGTGTCTGTGTGTGACTGGAAGTGATGTTAAAACTGAGTGCTTTTCATTTGTTTATGTTCGTATCATACAAATTATCCAAAAGAAGGCTACTAGTGTGTTTTTGAAACGCAGTTTACTCAGAGTGAAGAGTTCCTTCACGGTGATTTAAGCAGCCTCTATTAAACTAGCATCTTGCAAATGCTTCTTTCTTTTATACAGCAAATCAGACCATGGAAGTGATCAAATTACCAGGATTGTTTCACTGCTATTCAGAAGCAGGGATCCAGGTGACCAAAGTACTGTCAAGCACAGATTACACTAAAGGAAAAATATCCAGAAAAGCAGTAACAAACTTGCTGGGAAAACTTAATCAATATTTTTGAAATTTCCTCCACATGAAGAGAAATTATTTAGAAAGGATGTTTTAGGAAGATGAAGAAGAAAACACCTCCTAGAATTCATATTTTGAGTAGAAAATCCATACATTAAATTACATTATATATTACATGAGAATGATTTATATGACACTGGGTATTTTGAAGGTCAGCAATAAAATTGAAATTATAGCTAAGAAGCATGTCTCAGTACTTAGATTTTAACCTATCTTTTTGATTTTGTTTCTGTTTTTAATTTAGCCTCACAATTTTTAAAAATATGTCTGAAAAACTGCTTTGATAAAATCCTTTTCATAAATTATAACTGTTTAATCAGTCAGAACTTTAAGATTTAAATTTTAAATTCCACGTTTTCTCCACTGCTTTTGTTAATAAATTTGACATTCAATTTTATATCAATAAGAAATATTTAATTTTTATTTTTTCTAAAAATTTAGAAAATTTTACAGACTTGATTGATTTTACTTGATACAAGCATCTGCCATAAGATTAAATTTTGGGATAATCCTTCAAAATATAAAAGCAGCCTTATGAATGAAGTGCCATTTAGGTTCACGTTTAAGTTCACATTTGTAACAGTGTTACTTTTTTGCCATATATTTTCTCCTAAAAAATGATCTTCCATTTTCTTATAAGAAATTTGAATTGAGTCATTGGTTTGCCCTTTTCCTAAAGAATATGATATCTAAAATACCAGTAAATAATTCAACATAGAGTGATTTCATGTCTGATTTATGAAGGGAGAGTAAATACTTGATAGCTATAGATGCCACAAAATAAATTCAATTGAGAGTATAATTTTCACCTAATTTCTATGAGTTTATTTTTTTCACAGAACTAGACTATTGATACAACTTACATTTCTTTAGATAGATTATGTGTTTGCTTGGCAGCATATATTTGAACATTAGTGAAACAGAACTTTGTTTTTTAAATGATGGAATTTATAATATACATGCATTGATTTGTATATTATGGGTTAAGTTTTTCAAAGCAGTAATGGAGCTGTGTGTTAATATATAGCTTATAATTGAAATGGTACATATTTGTACATTTTAAGCCTTTCAGTGTAAAATTTCTTAATTGGAATACTCTCTCCCTTGGCTAATTCATTAGTGAAAATATTTATTCCTCAAGTTAATGCTATATAGTATGATGCAATTTTTATATAGTGTAAACTTGTTTATGATATTTTGATTTCACTTTAAAACTTTTATTTTGCTTCTTAGACATATAGTTCATACTCAGTATAATGAGAAGTGCAGACACACATGAAGAAAATACATATCAGCTGTCTGGTTTTACAAATGATCATTAAAACACCATGTCTTACTACTTTGACTCCAAATTATTGTCTTCCTGAACCCAAAAGTAATTTTCACAAGTACATTACACAACAGAACTTCATCTTCTGCTGGTTAGCAGTAGAGGATTTAAATCCATGCCGACAGTTCATTTGACAATGACCTTGAGGGGCTTTGCTTCTTGAAGAAGAAAGCAGAAGCTTGCGGTAAACAAAGTTCACTTCTGACAGATGGATTGAATGACAGAAAGGTTGCGAGTGCCAGAATAGCCCTGGCAGAGGAGGAAATGTTCAGTGGAATCCAACAGGAGAGGAGGTGTGAACAGGTGCAGGGTTGCTGACGGAAGGGGAACCAGATGGAAGGAGCCAGAGCCAGTTTATTTAAAGGAAAAGGCAGAAAACATTGAAAGGCTGTGCGATCAGTGGCTAAAAGTGTTCATAGAGGAAGGTAAAAATTCACAAAGCAAAACTGCACAGTGGGGTAGCTAACACTTAGCATAATGGTAGTAATTTGTGAGTTTAGTTTGGAAGTTGCGATTGAAATACATTCATCTTGGCTCTTGACACCATCCAGTATAGATATTTGAAAGTTGTTTATTTTTTTAAGTTTCTAAGCTTTTTTAAATCCATCCATTAATTTAATTTTTTCCAGCCAGAAGCTCCATTATGATAATACTAAAATTATGTCGTCAGCTAGGAAAAGAAAAAAATTTAAAGTGAAGGTTAACGTTCCATTCAAATTTATCTTGTGATGCCTCAGTTTTGTTCACATATGGAAAGCAAATGCATGCACTGTTGGGTGACATCTGTAATATCTAAGAAATTTGCAATGTTAGAATAGATGCCGTTGGTTGCTTTTGTTGTTTTGGATCTCTGTTCATTTTGTGAAGTCCGGTTTGATTGTTTCAGTAGGAATAATGCTCTTTAAAATACACATTTGCTGGCCACAATCTGCAGGTTAATTTCTGCTGCTGAGGTTGACCTGATTTTCATTGACTTTCAGTGACCTGCCTTTGGGCAGACACCTGCAAACCCAAGTACAATTTACAAAAGGAACAGTACGCATACAGTGGAGCAAGAAATGAGGACTTTCTTGTTTTCTAAGACCTATTAAAATGTAACTTTCTCCACTGCAAACCAGAGATAGCCCTGCTAATACTCTGTGTGGTCAATTCATACATACCACTTATGTGGGCCCTTGTCTACCACAGTTTTCCTTGAAAATTTTACTACATTACATTTCTGACAAAGAGACGCCAATAGAGGAGGAGCTATTAAGAAGCTATCACCGGGAAAAATGATGACAATGCACAATTATTTTGAGGTTTTAAAGATCTCGTAAATAATCCACAAAAGTTTCTGCACACTGCTCACAGAGATTAAACACACAAAGTAAATGAGTACTGTATTGACATTCCTTTTCTCAGAACTGCCTGGATCAAATAGATTACGTTTGATTAAGGCTGGATGTTTTGAGTTTAGAGAGAATGTCTGTGATTCGTGGCATGCTTTTGTCAGTAAATATAAAGAATTGAAATCAGATTAACAGTTATAGAAGATGTTGATTTACTCCTGTGCTGTATATCAAGATCATCAATTTTGGTCTCTTTTTTTTTAATCTGGATGAGGCAATATACAACTATATTTTGAAGGAAAAATGGTTAGTGATTTCTTCTAGTAAAAGGAAGTTGATGACCTGTATTTTAAAGTCATCTGCAAAATGTACTTTTTTCTCCCACTTGTTAAGGAATTTTTATCTAATAACTTCTTATTAATCTAAAATTTTATATAAAATCGATTGGAGTATCCTTGCTTTGATTATAGTGTACTGATTTTGCCATCTCTTCCATCATAATTACCAAATTTATTTATATAATAATGCTACTAGCATGGTGCTGCTTTTTAAAATAATAACATAAAACTCACTTGAACTACGGGGTTCAAATTGAAAGACAGTAAAAAGAAACTGCAACAATCAGTGTCATCATTTGATAGTCATATCACAAATTAAATTGTAAACTTCTTATAGGTAGAACCAATAGCTTCCCAGAAATATGTAAATTTAGTTGTACCTAGTAAAGTGTCTTTTGTGATATGAGTCTTTAATTTTTTTGAATGAAGGGATAACAAGTTGATTGCTGCTAAGCAGGTATTCAGTCAACATTTATTGAGCACATGTTCTGTTCTAGCTGCACTAGGCACTATGTAAATTTTCAAAATAAAGAGCCCATGATCCTTTTCCACAAGTATCCTGCAACCTACCAGACAAGGTTTATGTAATTACATATACACATACGTGTGTGTGTAAAATCTAGAAAATAGTATATAAATTTATAAACTTTCTGTGACTCATGATCATCTTAAATGAATTGATGAAACTCTCATCTAGCTCAACACTTATAATGTGTGAGAATGTTGAGAGAAGCTAAGTGATTTTCCTAATACCAACGGTGGTTGAGTGACAGCAAAAAGTAGAGTCTAAGTTTCCTTTCTCTAAGTCTAGTGCTCTTCCTGCATCCCACATTATACTTCTTTGTTCTCATTGATGATATGACTTGTCTGAGAAACCCCATTAAAACCCTTCAGTGCAAGTCTTTCACAGCCTGTTTTGGAAAGGAAAAAAAAATTATTTTTGGATTTTGGCACACGGTTACTGGTTCTTGAAACAAACAAAACACAAAGGTTCTTTAGCTTGCAAACAGTAATTACGAAGTTCACTTCTTAGAACTTTTTTTAATTATTATTTATTTATTTATTTATTTATTGCTGGAGTCTCACTCTGTCGCCCAGGCTAGAGTGCAGTGGCGTGATCTCAGCTTACTGCAACCTCCGCCTCCCGGGTTCAAGTGATTCTCCTGCCTCAGCCTCCCGAGTAGCCAGGATTACAGGCGTGCACCATCACACTCGGCTAATTTTTGTAATTTTAGTAGAGACGAGATTTCACCATATTGGCCAGACTGATCTCAAGCTCCTGACTAGGCTCAAGCGATCACCTGCCTCGGCCTCCCAAAGTGCTGGGATTGCAGGCATGAGCCATGGCACTCAGCCCGTTTCTTGGAACTACCTCTGGGAGTGGTAGTAAAGATAACCTCCCGCATAAACGCTGCTTACCCTGTAATAGGCATATTCACTTAATCCCCACATAACCCTACCAGGTAGATTCTGCCATAAGCCCCATTTTACAGATAAGAAAACTGAGGTATTCAGAGGTTAGTACCTTGACCCAAGTCACAGCACTGCTAAGTGGTGGCGTAGGCACTGAAGCCTAGGCAGCTAGGCTCCCGACTACGATTTTATCCATTACACTATATTGCCTCTGATGGTGGATGTTGTGAAAAATAACTTCTGTCACCAGTTCCTTTTGGAAAGTTGTATTCAACAGGCTAAACCAGGTTTCTTGACAGTAGGGCTTCTCAGCGTTTTTAATATGTTAGTGCACACTGTGACTCTCTTAGAAAGGAATTTAGTTTTCAGTGTTTCCGAAATTTATATGACTTATGGAAGCTTTTCTATCAAATCTCCACACATCTTCCAGGAATCACGTTTTTAGGAATACACTTGGGGAAAAACTGAACTAAACTAATTTGTAGTAGGACTGCTGAAAACTATCATATGGGGATTATTCGTTATTGTATCTCATCAGTGCCTCTGCAACACCCTACTCCATCCCACCCTGCCCCGCAACTTCACTTTCATTAGAACACACACAGTTCATGGAAAGAGTAGATAGGTTGGTAACTTTCAATTTTCATTTAGTCATTTCTCTAAAATGGGGGTGTGGGGTGGGGAAGCATCTTTGACCAGACTTCAAGAGTAGCTGGACAGTTAGCTGTGCCAGAGTCACGTTCCAAGTTCTTCCATATCTTACTGTCCCAACTTTGCCTTTATGTGATAATTCTATTTATTTTAAATTATGTGTTTATTCTAGAAAACAAATTTGACAATTACATAACTAGATTGCCAGTCAGTTCATTGAAGTTAGACACCTTTTAAAGCATGACTCTGAATGAGATTTCATAGAATAAGATGTTATTGTGGATGCTCTCCTGTATAAACGTTTTAGGCAATCTCCTGCCAGGAATTATTGGCACAAATTTGAAGTATGGGCCACTAAGTCAGACTGCACTAGATTTTATTTTCCTTCAACCCATGATATGGCAATATTCCTCCCTTTTATGTGTATTCTTTCCTGTGTTAGGAAGAAATGGAGCAACTCATGGGCAATAAGCTCTGGAAGTCGGGAAGTTTAGCACTCATAATGTGCTAATTTTTCTGTAAATACACTTGGAGGTGCCTATAATTTATAATTATGTCAAGCAGTTTCTACTGGTGAGGTTTTCTATAAATAACCATCTTGTAATGATAACGACTGGAATTGTGATTCTCATGAAGACTTACTATGTGTGCTCCTAGCTTTCCCACCTGCCCTGCTTTCTGGGTTCTCAAATTACATTTCCTTCAATAAATCAACTCCAGCAATTTTTATTAAAGTTTGAAACCATTCACTGGCTTATTTGTATTCCTCAAGGTGCAGAAAATGTTTGGGAATAAGCGAAAACTACAAAGGCAACAGATTAAATCCCCAGGCAGTGGGATAGCTTACTAAACTGGCTGACACATTGATTGACAAGCTAATATGACTGCAAGGTCCTCTTGATGAACTTTGAAACTAGTCGTTTCTTACTAGAAACAAGTAATGAATGATATAAGGATGATTACTAGAGATTGAGTAAAGAAATCCATGTCTATTTGCCATTTAAAAATTATAGAAACACTATCCAATGATGAAGATTTTCCAATTTTATTTACATTCACTTATTAGGAAGGAGTCTGTGACCCAGGTACATAACTGAACATTTTAAAAATAATTTGCCAGCTTGGCTGTATGGATTAACTTTTTCATAATACTTTGTAATTTAATTTTAAATGTGAATATGTTTTTTGGGAGTTGCCTCAAACCAAATCTGATTTACAAAAAAAAAAAAATGAAGGGGATCATTTTGGTATACTATGGTGACTACTTCAGCTTCGGTTGTTCTTAGTGTTCTATCAGAATTCTTCTCCTTTGTTTCTCCTTTCAAATCATAGGTGAGTGGCTGAATTAAATGAGAAACTTATCAAGGTTAAAAAAGGTCATTTTAATAGTTTTTGAAAATTATGAGTTTTGATATCTTCATGAGGCACTTACGTTTAGTAGTTTTGGGCACCTGGTTATTTTTATTTGTGGAATCAGGATTTAAAATGCTGCTTTGCTATAGGGTGGTAGACAAAGGAGTGGCACTCAGACCAGTGCTGTCCAATAGAAATACAGAGGGAGCCACAAAATGTAAACCACACATGTCATTTAAAATTTTCAAATAACCACATTTTAAAAAGTAAAAGGAGGCTGGGCGCGGTAGCTCATGTCTGCAATCCCAACACTTTAGGAGGCCGAGGTGGGCAGATCATTTGAGGTCAGGAGTTTGAGACCAGCCTAGCCAACATCGGGAAACCTTGTCTCAACTAAAAATACAAAAAAATTAGCCAGGCATGATGGCGCACACCTGTAGTCACAGCTGCTCAGGAGGCTGAGACAGGATAATCGCTTGAACCCGGGAGGCGGAGGTTGCGGTGAGCTGGGCAACAAGCAAAACTCTGTCTCAATTAAAAAAAAAAAAAAAAAGCAAAAGGAAACAGGTGAAATTAGTTTTAATAACATAATTTATTTAACCCAATGTATAGAAAATAGTATTTCAACATGTGATTTATATAACACATTATTAATGACGTATTTTAAATTTTTTTCCTAAGTCTTCACACCCCTTTGTGTATTTTGCACTTACAGCATGTCTTGATCCAACCTAGCCATATTTCAAGTGCTTACTAACCCCACGTGGCCAGTGGCTGCCACTCCAGACGTCACAGCCCTAGACGTTTGTTACTCAGTTTTCCAGCTTTCCCACAATGCCCAGCAGAGATGAAGTTAGATTCTCATGAGCTTAAACCCTGAATTGTTTCTACAAAAATGGGAACCATTTTATTAAAACAAGAAAATCATGTCATCTTTTTCTTGAATTTTGGAGGCAGTAGCCAGGACTCATATTGATTAGTCTTTTTCTGAAGAATCGCCACTTTGAGGAGGAGGAGGAAGAGAGAGGAAGCTACCACTTACTGGCCATTACTTGAAGAGCAGATGAGTGATTAAATATACCAGCATCACATTATAATAAGTTCTTCTATATCTTACTCTCCCATCTTTGCCGTTATATGTTGAAGAGTTGTTGAAAATAAATTTGACAGTTAAATAACTAGATGCCGATCTGTTAACTGGATTTAGACAATTAGGAACCTTTCAAATGGTGATCTGGGCTGGACGTTGCCGGTTGCCTCATGTGGAGCTTCCCACATAATCCTGATAATATCATTTTATTAATGAGAAAACAGAGGCTTAGATTGAGATGAGGTTCCGCCTTGACGTGACACAGCTAGCACATGGTGGAGCCAGGGCTGAGGCCCAGCCCTGTGTGTGCAACGCTGGCCAATGCTACCTCCCCCTGTGTAGCTTATGTCAGGAAATTGAGGAAAATTTTTATTCTTTCCTCAAGGCTGTCTTTGAGATAATTATATTGATTGTTTCAGTTTGAGTAGTCATCTTCTAGGAAATAATAAGGATAACAATAGTAATAATACGTACTAATTAATATTTTTTAACTTACTATATGTCAGTGCTGTACTAACAGTATTTTATATGTAATATCCTCATAGTCCTATGAGGAGAGGTACTGTTATTAACCTTATTTTTCATTCAAGAAAACTGAGTCGTAGGTTATGTGACTTACTTAGAGCAGGAGTTCCCAACTCGGGGTCACCTGACCTCCATCTCCTGTCGGAGCAGCAGCATCATTGGATTCCCATGGGGCGCTAACCGTATTGTAAACTGCGCATGTGAGGGATCTAGGTTGTGCACTCCTTATGAGAATCTAATGCTTGATGATCTGTCACTGTCTCCCGTCACCCCCTGATGGAACTGTCTAGTTGCAGGAAAGCAGGCTCAAGGCTCCCACTGATTCTACATTATGGTGAGTGTTATAATTATTTCATTATATGTTACAGTGTAATAATAATAGAAATAAACTGCCCAATAAATGGAATGCAGTCGAATCATCCCCACACCCCCTACCCTGGTCCGTGGAAAAATTGTTTTCCATGAAACCAGTCATTGATGCCAAAAAGGCTGGGGACCACTGACTTAGGGCACACAGCTGCTAAGTGGAGGAATTGCAACTTTGATGCTAAGTCTAGCACACACCAAAGCCTGTTCTCTAAACTTCTGCCTCCTTGTGTACAGATGCCCTGCTGGCAGTGGAGCTTACATGCGAAGGGATAAAGGCTGAAAGTATCCTATTGTTTTTAGGGGTATTTTAGGATTTCAGTTGCTTATATTTATTTTCTCAGAGCACAAAGTCCTCAGTTTGGATATAGTCAGGGCAGGCTACCTTGTGGAAATTAGTTTGAAGATAGATTTAGAAGGCTGGAAGCAGCAGGTTTCCAGGAATGGAAAGGGCCGCTCTGTAGCTACAGGAATGGTGAGGACGAAGACTAAGAAATGGCTAGAGGAAGAGAAAGATCCAGCAGACACAGGTTATTGAAGCAGAGGAAATAATTAAGGATGTAGATAAGAATAGTTATAAGCAAGTATTACAAAGTCAAATAGAAATAATGTTAAATCATAAAATGACTAAAAGGCAAAATGTTTTGATGAAGAAAGTGACTTAATTATTGTATCAAGAAAAGAATTTTCTTATTTAGAGGAATGAGAATAGTGGAGTAGGAATCAGAAAACTTGGGCTCACGTCAGTTTTTTTCTTCTGTAGATGTAGTGCTTTTTACCTCCAGAATTGTGTGCAAAGACGGAGAGGTTACAGAGTTCTCAATCAAACTCTAAAAATGGACTACAGTGGTCTTGTTGCCAAGTCAAGGTTACTAGTCCATAGAATACAGCCGTAATTTCTGTATACATGCACATTGGATGTTTGACCAAAGGCACACCATCTCAGCAATAATGAAAATTCTACTATCTTTATTACAGAAGTTCCCCACTTACTCAAACTTAGACTTCTTCTTTTTTTTTTTTTTTTGGTTTTGAGATGGAGTCTTACCCTGTCGCCCAGGCTGGAGTGAAGTGGCATGATCTCGGCTCACCACAACCTCCGCCTCCCGGGCTCAAGCAATTCTCCTGTCTCAGCCTCCTGAGTAACTGGGATTACAGGCATGCACACCATGCCCAGCTAATTTTTGTATTTTTAGTAGAGACGGGATTTCACCATGTTGGCCAGGCTGGTCTGGAACTCCTGATCTCAGGTGATCTGCCTGCCTTGGCCTCCCAAAGTGTTGGGATTACAGGTGTGAGCCACCGTGCCTGTCCCAAACTTAGACTTCTTGCTAGTTTGAAATATAGCTGTAAATTGAGGTATAAATTAAAACGTACTTTTAAGAAGCAAGTAACTATCACAAAGCCCTTGCACTTTTCTGTGCAGCATCTGTGGAACTATCCTAACACACTTTTAGGTGTTAAAAAGCAAAAAGGAAAAAAATTAAAAACAAAATAAAAAAACATGGCAGCAAATCACAGCAAACCAACCAATAAAGAATTATAAGAAGACCAGTATGCTTTTGGTTCTTTAGAATAACATCTGAGACCTTCCTTGCAATAAATATTATTGAATGCCTTCTGTTTCTAGCCACTCTATTAAGCCCTTAAAGATCTGGCAATGAGCAACGATCCATAGGCACTTACTAGCAAAAGGAATAGCAACAGTAAGTATGCCTACCTTGTTTTAAATTATGAACCTTAATTATTAAGGAGAGCTTATTGTATTTGGTATAGTTTGCTTAAGAAAGCAGACATAATTAACACATTTTAGACATATTTCTATTGTAAATGGCGAGAATTCTGTGGATCTAATACCTGGAAAATTCTCGTATGTGGAACATATTCTCAACATTCTAGATAAATAATGCATGCATTACTCTGTCATACTTATGAGATAAAATATAATAAAAAATATATAAATTATAATTCTTACTATTATACATATTTCTGAATAAATTTTATAGCCACAAGGGAACCAACATGTTCCCCATTTAATATTATATCCTAGAAATTAATTCCTAAAACATTTTAATAATAGAATAATAGAATAGAATAGAATAGAAACTGTTATGCTACAATTTGCTAATAATGCATTTCCATTGACATGTTATAGAAACGCCACTAGAATGCATATTGATCCTACTGATACCTGATTTGAAGTTACTCATCAGAGGGATTAGTTACTGGGAATTTGTAGATCAAGTGATATTTTTCAGAGAAGAAAGCCAAGAATGCATAAAAGTCATTAGTTTATACAGACAAATTGAAATGGAAAATATGAATTTTTGAAAATATGAAGATACAAAGGCAAAATCATGATCGAATTTATTTTAGGTAATAGCATATTTGGCCTTATTATTTAGGGTGATGAATTGGGCTCAGGGTGTTGTATAATAGGATACAGTAGTGCTTTACTATCTCACAGGATCTTTGCCCCATGCAATCACTTAATGCATCAGGCACCCTGAGCTATTGAAAACATTTGAAGACTGAAAATTAATGAAGTGTGCATTGTCAAATGCACTGAGGCTGTTCAGTCTCAGTATCTACCTATGGTATCTACCGTATCTAAAGAAACCATTACAGAAATTGCTCTTACTATTGCTGTAGTAATAAGTGCTTTCCCTGATTCTAATGTTGTCCCTTCCCCATCTGTTCCCCACACTGCAGCCAGAGTGATCTTTCTAAAGCACGAGTGTGATCACAACACTCCGCTGCTTAAAACCCTACATTGGCTCCCTATTTCCCTCAGGACGAGGGCCTTAAAAATAGCTTCATGTTCTGGCTCCTGCCTACATCTCCAAGTCTCGTCTTTCTTCAATAATCTCCCCTCCACCAACTGTGCGCTGCTGCCCCACAACATATATCCTCCAGCATCCCGTCATGCCAAAACTGTTTGCAGTGTTCTCAGGGCACCTGGTTATCTCTCCACCCTGTGTCTTTGCACAAACTGTCCACTTCACTTGTAATAATCTTCTTTATATTCTTTGTATGGCAGATTACTACTCATATTTTAAGCTTCTGATTTTTTTTAAGCTTCCTGAAATCCTTCCTCCCTGTCCCCAGCTACTCCCCAATTCCTATCCTTTCCACCTGTATCATGGCAGGAATTTAGCCCTACTTTAATATTTACTGTACCATGAGTTGTTTTTTTCCCCAAAACTCGTTTATTTTGTTCACTAGACAATAGACTCTCTGAGGCCAGGGTCTACATCTTGCACACTGATGCATCCCCATACTTTTGTGCTTGGCACAAAGTAGTTGCTTAAGTATTTGTTGAATGGATGCGCAATCCACTGTTTGATTAAACAAACCCATCATGTGAGGCAGTGCCATGGAATGGAAAGAACACTGGACTTGGAGTGAGAAGACAGATTTGGATTCCAGCTTTGCTACTTACTAGCTGCATGGCTTTGAGAAAAATCTCTTAATTCCCGAGTTTGAGACACTTTATCTATCAAACAGGAATATCTGTTCCATCTCTCTGCCCCACAGAGATGTTATGAAGAATAGAGAGGTCGGTGCATTTGAATGTGCCTTTTAAAATAGAAAGTACAGACATGCAAAGGGTGATGCGCTAGTAACTGGAGTTGATAGAGTCTGTGGTTTTGTTTTAAAAGTAGATGGGAATTGTGCATATGTAATAGAAACAGGCAATAGCTAGTCTACTGTATTGTCTTTTGCCTTGAAGGTAAGTTTTCAAATTATTTTGGAGATACTGTAAGAACATTTTTGGAGGGAAAATTATTTTTAGAGATGTTTCTGTTAAATATTTCCTTTCTTTTGTGTATATTCCCTTGAAAGAAGTTGACCTCCTTTCTGTTTCTGCTTTCTTCCCTAGAAGTGACTCATTCTCTGATCTGATAACTCATCTTTCAACATTGTGCTTGAAGTTCTGACATACTTTGCAATGAAGAAAATAGAAGTAATTTACTCCAGGAAATATGCCATTAAGTCTTTTGCATACTTAAGGAAGTAGAGATTCCAGAATCTCATTCCTGTGTTTTCCTTTCTGTTTCTTCTCAGTAGTTCCACATTTGCTCAAATAAGGGAATACAGCCCCTGTTAGCTGTAAATAAGCATAGAATTTTGGGTTCTTCTGAAACATGGAAGACATCATGCTGTCTACCAATTTTATTATTGTTTTTGTTTTGTTTTATTTTCAATAATAATAATAAATTCTTGCAAAAATAGAGATTATCTTATCATATTCTCTGACTGTAGTCAGTAGACAGGATGATACTTACACCTGTGAGGATACTTAGTACTTTCCGTCTTTTAGTAGTTGATCATTCATTCATTCGTTTATTCATTCATGAAATGTTCATTGACCACACAACTGTGTACCAGGCACTATTCCAGATTTTCGGGATAAATTAGTGAGCAAAACAAAGGTTCCTATTCTCCATGGATTTAGATTCCAGATTGATGCACATGTCTTATCTTTTCTAGAGTCTGTGGCCACTTGAGGCAGGAGATGTGTTTGTGGTACCTTTCAATGTTTTTGCAAAGGTGAATATATGTCTTCGAGAAGGACACAACTAATTGATGGTGTCATTGTAGGAGAAAGTAATCCAATAGCTTAGGGGACAACAGGGAAAGAAGAAGGAGAACTAGCTTGGGATTTGGCTGTCAAGATGGATAATATGGCTATTAAATGGCACACTCCCATATAGATAATTGAAATAGACACTTGTTATCCTTTCAACCTTCTCTCATTTCTCTACATCCCTGATAAAAGAAGAGACTGAAGCATAGTGATTCACTGTGGACTTTAGAGTCAGATAGCCCTGGATTTCCTGGCTGTAACCTTTAATAACTAAAGAACTTGGACATACTGTATAACCTCTCTAGGCTCCCATTTTCTTATCTATAAAGTGAAGATACTAAGAGAACCTACTTTATATGGTTGGTATGAGGATTAAATAAAAGAATGCATGTAAAGACCTTAGCTTATGTGTAAACATTAGTAATTAGTAGCTTCTTAAAAGGATTAGTCCTTTAAGGTTGGATTTTCTTTTTGTTCTGCTTGAATGAAGAACCCCAGTATTAAAGGAAGAAAGTTATTAGTCTATAGTCACACAGGTGATAAGGTGGTAGATGCCATACTCTGACCCTCTAGCTCTGTGAGTTTGGCTGTACTCCATTGCCTCTCAAGGTGTCATCTTCCCAGAGCACAAAGAGAATAAACTCAAAAAGTACCTATACATTTGTTTAAAAAACAAGGCAAAACAAAACAAAACTATAAGCAAATATTGAAATCTAGTTACTAGTAGATTTGCTTTCCATAGATTATTAATTTTGAAACTACTTTCTGTGTATTCCAAGTTTGAACAAACAAGTATGTTGAGGATAATAGGAACCAAGTTTCTTACTATTGAGGAAAAAATTACAATTATGGAAAAAAGGGAGACAAGGTTCTATGTATGTTGTTGGATTGTAATTGGAAAGACCAGTATGAATGTGTATGCATATATTCATATAGGATACAGACAAATATTTATATTTATATTCACATTTATACACTTACATGTATATTCATATCCAGACTTAGTCCACCAAGGTGACCTAGAAGCAATGATTTTGCAGTAGCAGTGAGCACCACCTAGTGACAGATCCTGATTTCTAAATACCATTCTCCATTAAAGGCACAAAAACAGCTCCTTGGTCAAATGCTGATTCCAAGACTGGTACAAGGACATTACAAGATGAGCCTGCAACATTTTGTGGAGATAGAAAGCCACGTGAACAATAGAGACATGTCACGTAGGAACCACCTTGAAAGGGTTCCCCCTGGCCAAATCCAGGATAAATTGAGCATAAAAATAATAATCATAATGGATTATAACCCACTGAATAAGATATGAATCCATGACTCCATGCTGATATTAATGAATTAATAAATGAGAGAGAAGGGAAAGCTCTTTCTTATAATACAATGTTAACTAAAAAATAGAGAAAGAATAATGGAGTAAAAAAGTCATTTTTGGATGTAAAACTATTAGATGAGAGCTCGATGAAGAATAGGATGTTTGCATAGTCTAGGCATCTCCCAACAAATTACCTCTTACTTATTAGGTTGGAGCAAAAGTATTGTGATTTTTGCCATTAAAAGTAATTACTTTTGTGCCAACCTGATACAGAGAGGAAAGGAGTAACTTTACAGTAGAGAGGCCTGGGACAGCTCACCTAACTGCTGTTTTGCTGAGTCTGACTTGTACCAGCCCATGAGAGCCAATTATGTGTATTTCTTCCCAACTTGGTATTCAGTGATGTCACTTTGGTAGCTGAAAATAGAGCATGGTGGAAGTGTCTACACTGAAAATTGGTGAATACTACCAAAGAGGGATTTCCTGTCCCCTGGAGCCCTGTTGTTAAATATCGTCTGGCACACCAATGATGTTAATCAAGCTATCAAAGCTAATAGCACCAATATTGGGACAGGTGTACATTTTCTGTCTAAACTCACATCGGTACCCAGCACCTCCCTGCCCCTTCTGTCTGTATTCCTTAATGATTTTCAGCCAGTAAGCATGTTATAAATTCTCACAAGTTTTTTCATACCAATATGCTACTATCACAAAGCTCACAAAATTTTATCTTAAAAGGGAAACACCTTTTAGCCAAAAGAGTTGTATGTCTCACATTGGAACTTCAGACATCAGTAAAAAGGTGAGTAGGAACATGGAAGGTGGGATTGGTGCTTCAACCCCACAACTACCAGGTCCTTGTTCCAGACTTGAGCCTTTCATTTTTTCTGTCCCAGGGTCATTGTTGAGCTAAATTTAACATCATTAGAAAATGTACTTTAAAAAATCTGCTTAACAAATCATTTTTGCTCTGTGACATGAACATTTTTTAAATTGCAAGATTTAAAATAATAAACGATATGAAAAAGTTGAGTATCAAAAATATAAGCTTAATGCTTCAGTGCCGTTTCTAAAAAGTGGGATGGTAAATATCATTGTGACCATTTTTAGAAAATGCAATCAACCAGAACTATAATTGGTAAAAAGGAATGACTATGCTTCCATGTATATGTAATCTGTGTTTGAGGCCTAGCCAGTACTTGTTCACTCCTTTAATTCTGAATTTTTATGAAGAAAACATTGACATGGCCTACATACGCCTGGATTACAGGTGATGTGAATAACTTGGAGAATAAAGGTGGATGTTCCTATTCTAGACCATTTGCTCCTCCTTTAATTTATTTATTTTTATTTATTTTTTTATTTTTTGAGACAGGGTCTCACTCTGTCGCCCAGGCTGGAGTGCAGTGGTGTAGTTATGGCTCACTGTAGCCTCAACCTCCCTGGGCTCAAGTGATCCTTCTGTATCAGCTCCTTGAGTAGCTGGCACTACAGGCACACACCACCGCATCTGGCTAATTTTTGTAGTTTTTTTTGTAGAGATGGATTGCACCAGGTTGCCCAGGCTGGTCTCGAACTCCTGGGCTCAAGTGATCTACCTGCCTTAGCTTCCCAAAGTGCTGGGATTACAGGTGTAAGCCACTGATTTGCTCCTTTTAAAGATCAGCTTTATTGGGGTAAATTTAAATATAATAAAATATCACCAATTTCTAACTGTGCAGGTAAATATGGTTTGACAAATATATAGAATTGTGGAAAGATCATAGTCATAACATAGAAGAACATTTATATCCACCCAAAACATGTCCTTGTGCCCTTTTGCTCCCTGGTACCCCTCTCCTACTTCCAAATCCTGGCAACGCGGATCTACTTTCTGTCCCTTAGTGTTTACTTTTCTTGAATGGCCTGTGAATGACATCATAATATATGTCTTTGGTGTCTGGCTTTTTAAACTACGTGTACTGCTTTTGAGGTTCAGCCAAGTGCTGTATGTGGCATTGTTCCTTGTTATTTCTACCCTTCCTAGCCATGGTTAGACTATACCACAGTTTATCCATTGAACAGTTGATGCACGTTTAAGTTGTTTCCCGTTTTGAGTGATTGTGAATAAATCTTTCAGCCCCATAACTACCAAGAAATTCTTTTTTACTCAGTGTTTTGAGTGGGAATTAAAGCAAACCAATTGGAGAGACTGGCTTGACCATCCTTCACCAGGCTCTCACACCCAGCTGGATTTGACTCTCATTTTGTTATGCTTTGGTAAATTTTCCCCTTATACCTTTCTTACGAAGTATTTTGCCATCTACTTTCTGTTTGGCCATTTTGAACTCCCTGCTAGGGGCAAGGAGCATGTCTTATCTATCTTTATTTGACCCAGTGCCTAGCAGAGTGCCTTTCACATAAGAGAGTTATGATAAATACTTAATGCATTGATTTACATTCTTCTCTAGTTGCTCCTTGAATGCCTACGTGCTTTTTATAATTTTTTCAATCCATTATCGTATTACCTCTAGAGCAGTGTGTCTGATCTTTTGGCTTCCCTGGGCCACACTGGAAGAAGAATTGTGGGCCACACATAAAAGACATTAATATTAATGATAGCTGATGAGCTAAAAAGGAAAAAACAAAAAGGCCCGTGCATAAATCTCATAATGTTTTAAGGAAGTTTATGAATTTGTGTTGGGCCGCATTCAAAACCATCCAGGCCGCAAGCAGAGTAAGCTGTCCAACTGGCGGCCCAGGACAGCTTTGAATGCAGCCCGATACAAACTGGTAAACTTTCTTAAAACATTATGAGATTTTTTTTGTGTGATTTTCTTTTCTTTTCTTTTCCTTTTTTTTTTCCCAGCTCATCAGCAATCATTAGTATTAGTTTTAGTGTATTTTATGTGTGGACCAAGACGATTCTCCCAGTGTGACCCAGGGAAGCCAAAAGATTGCATACCCCTGCTCTAGAGTATTATAAAATAGGATTCCCCAAATAAAAACATTTTAATCCTACCTCTGCCTTTAAATCATTCACTATGCAACCTATAAGCAGACTTCAAATTCTTTGTGACCCTTGGGGATTTTTAAGTAGGTTTTTTTTTTCCAACTGTAAAGTGAGAGGGTTTGATGAAACACATTTGAGGTTCCCTTTTAGTTCTAACATTCTGGGAATTTATAAAAAGCCTACCAAGTCAGAACCTGCAAGAGAGGAGAGAAGGCAACATAGGAAAGTGGAAGGGGAAAGGAGGTTGGAAAGCAAGACTATGTCATGTTTCTAGGCAATGAAACATAATGTATAGTTTCCCAAATAGAGGGAAATTTGGGGAAGGATTCGAGAAACATCAGTTGATGTGTAACTCAACATTTGTTGGTAGAAGTCTTTTAAATTGTTTTATTTTATAAAAAGGACTTCAATTATGACAGTAGTTCTTTTCTATAGTCAATTTATTTTTTATTTTTATTTATCTATTTTGAGACAGAATCTCACTCTATCACTCAGGCTGGAGTTCAGTGGCACAATCTCTGCTCGCTGCATCCTCTACCTCTCAGGTTGAAGTGATTCTGATGCCTCAGCCTCCCAAGTAGCTGGGATTACAGGCATGCACCACCACGCCCAGCTAATTTGTGTATTTTTAGTAGAGATGGGGTTTTGCCTTGTTGGCCATGCTGATCTCTAACTCCTGGCCTTAAGTGATCTGCCCACCTTGGCCTCCCAAAGTGCTGGGATTACAGATGTGAGCCACCGTGCCTGACCTATAGTCAATTTAGAATATCAGTAATTAGGCAGCTTATTCTAAAGAATGATGGTGAGATTGACAACCCCTTTACATTGGGGAACTGTAAGTACCAGTTTGTGATGGGTAGTTTCAGTTGTGACTGTTATCTTGGTATAATTATTAATAGTGCCCCTTTCACTTTCAGATGGGTATTGGTGTTGGAGAATGCATTTATGTCACCCAATTGTTAGGGGTTGCAGAGCCCCAGATTTCTATCTCTGGCTCCTGCCCCGGCAGGGGGTCTGACTTGGGGATGGTCTGACAGGGCTTTTTGTTTTTTTAGCTGACTCCTTTAGCAGCACGGTCTCCAGCTGGCAGAGCCATTAGAACCATTCTCTTCTAAGCACCTTTTTCTAACACGTCTGAAAAGTTTTTGCCTCCTCTCGTAAGACTTAAGCAGATTCTCCAGCTACACGTTAAGATAGCAGCCTTCCTTTCCCCTATGACAAGAGTATAACAACATCCAATCATGAAATATTCACCACCCACTTCCTGTGTGCCAAGCACTGAGGCTGGGCTGAGGGTATAGAGAGATAAAGATGACAAACGAAGCAGACATGTTAAACAATAACTAAAGTGTGATAAATACTATCTTTGTACGATGTACACAACATATATTGAGGTCATTGAGGGAAGAATAGTTAATTCAGGAGAGAGGAAGGAGAGGGGAAGAATTTTGAGTTAGGCCTGAAGCGGGTAGTTGTATGTATACATCTTACAGGGGGATTGAGTGGGCAGGTGGAGGGGCTTTCCAGGAAGAGGAAGAGACATGTGCAGTGATCCATGGCCAGAAAATACATGGTGTGACTGGGGAGGCAAAAAGTAGCCTAGTCTGACTATCCATTTGTTGTATATACTGGTTTGGAACCGAGTGCGACGCAAGACCTTGGACCACATCCCGGGGGGAGGTGTTGTTATTAGAAGTACCAGACAGGACCTTATTTCACATTTAGCATGGACCCCCGATGATTCCATTTGAGTGAGGTGTGGGTGTATTTTCATTCCAGAATTTTATACTACAACATGACCACATGCATTGACCAATTTTAATACAGGCTTTCCTTATGTTGCTTTATAATTAGAAGCCAGTGAATTGAAGTTCCACAGCGGTACATAGACTAGTAGTGATAGCTTTATGGAATTGTTTATTTTTAGTTTGGCAAAGGCTAAGCAGTAAATATCTCAATTAGTAAACTAAAGCAGCATGGATGAGAAATGCCCGCAAGGAGATCAGGAGTTAGAAATAACTAAGTCAGTTAATTGAAGGAAACCCTAATATCACTTACCCATATTTAGAGTTTGAAGAACCATTCTAATATGTGTGTGTGTGTGTGTGTGTGTGTGTGTGCACATGTACATGCACACACACACTGTCAGTATCCACAGTGCTGCCAGCATTGAGGTCCTTTGCATTCCCCAGGTTCTAATTGTTTAGGAAGTTTCTCTCTTTGGAGCCACTGTGCTTGGTTATTGACCCAGTGGGATAGGTCAGTGTCCTATCACAGTACGATGGGTTGTTGTCTGACTACAGAAGCTTTTCATCCTGCAATTTCTTTCAATGTGACCCACGAGGGATTTTATTATGAAGTGCTGGGGGAAGTTATTCGTATTCATATTTGTATTCATATTCACATTATATGGCCTGATGTGTGAAGATATTTAGTGAAAACATGAATGTGGCACTGCAGAATCATTTACTCGCCTCTAGATAGAGGCTCCTGCATTATATTTAAGATTCCATTTTAAGTTTAGAGTGAAAACAGAGGTGGTCTACAAAGCTTAGTTTTAAGAATTTAAGTTTTGTTCCTAGAGTTCCAGTATCTCTGGGAAAGATTGACCACTCAGAAGATGAAACATTCATTGATAGTGTAAAACATTAAGAATATTAGAGAAAAAAGTTTTGTGTTTTAAAGTTACAAAATACCATTATTTAGTTGTTATGATGTTTTGACACTGCACACTTTAGTCCATTTGGATTCATGGCACGTATTTAACACTGTATGGAAGGTTGTTTGGATCTTCCCCCTAAAGTGGGGGAGGGTCATTAGAAAGGTCCTTGTCTTCTTATGCTTAACAATTTACTACGTATCAGCTCTCTCTGGTCTATAGGGGACATGATGGGGGTTTGTGCATCTGCAGATTAAATTTCTGTATGTCTCCTCTCTGTTTTGCAGACAGGAAAAAGATAGCATTCAGCAGAGCTTTAGCAAGGAAGCAAAGGCCCAAGCCCTTCAGGCCCAGCAAAGAGAGCAGGAGCTGACACAGAAGATACAGCAAATGGAGGCCCAGCATGACAAAACTGGTAGGTGGTAGGGAAAGATTAGAGCCTGGGCACTAGCTCACAAGTCAGGCCCACGCCTTACTGTGAAATGACATCAGGAACACCTGTAACCTTTGGCTGGCCGAAGGGAGCAGATGCTAACTACACCGGAGATTCCGAATTACATATTAGTTAGCGTTTAAAAGAGAAAATGGAAAGTATTGCCCACTGTCTGTTGATTTCAGAGTGCTGCTCTCACATCTGTTGCACCATCTGGATTATGAGTTTATTTACCTGTGTTCAAGAAACGTAAAGCTGAGAGAGACCACAACAAAGTAGAAAAACAAAGGGCTTGTTTTTGGCTGGGTTTTCAGGCACACATGTTATATAAAGAAAATAGCATCAGAAGCTCTGCGGGAAATGCTCTGAGCTTACAGTTAGAGTCTCCTGAATAGCATTGAACAGTTCCCACAGTACACACATTATAGCTACTCTAAAAGCCTAATGAGTTTGCTTCAGCATCCAAACTGGAGAAAAGCTTTAGCCATTAATCGGTTCTTAATTCACTGTCGCAGCTGGATGTAATTCAGTGGCTCCAAATTGATATGTTCCTTTATTTAATCTTTGCAGCTTCGAACATTTTTAGCATTTGTATGATTTCCCCACCTCCCCCAACCCAATCTAGAGTGATGTTTAATCCTTTGCATTCTTCAAGTTCTCACAACTGCTGTTAAAATTCACTAATACAAGGCACTGACCACAGCTGGCAGCTTGGCTAAAAATTGCCATCTTTCATCACATTGGCACTATTCTGCAGACTGAGTTGGCCAGTAACTCTTTACCTTTAATTTGAAAGTAAAATGCACTTTGAAAATAGACAGTTTGATTTGTTCAGTCAGAGCATTATGTAGTTTCTTTCACTTTTGAGTTGTGTGTTCACAGACAGTGTTAGTCAAAACAAGACAGTGTCAGTCATTATAATTCCACACCACATACTCCACACTGATTGTACTATTAAAACAAAAGTTTAATTGATCCTGTCTCTTCCAGAAAAATGTTGCTTAATTTTAGTGCCTTGATTTATTTTGATTTGTATGCTATATGCTTTTTGCCAATCATTGGCTAAAATTGAAAAGAAATAAAGGCCTCTTAAAACTTATGCTTAGAGGTAATTTTCATATGATTTAATGTATTAATATATTGTATTTGATGACACAGTAAGAAATTATTTCTTATCCTATGGGTGAAAAATTGCCAACAGGCAAGTCATTAAATAATCTATTTACTTATGAAGAGGCAAATGTCATATTGACTCACATAATTCCCTCTATCACTTTCAGTAGAGATTTTCTTCCAACAGCATTTGGCCAGAAGAAACGAAAATTCACCAGGTTTAGTAGAAGTTTTTCCTCTAAAAACAAAAAGAGGCAATTGTAGGATAAATTATTGTTTTTGCCCCCACTGCTAGCATGATCCTAGTGATCAGAGTCTTGGGCAGAATCTAAGCACTAGATTAGAATGTATTTAACTGTTAAAACCGCCTTAAGAACATTTCCTTTTGTCTTGTACACACATACACAAAATCACACTGTTTTCAATTTCTTTGACCAGATCTCCATTGAAGCTCATGCTGTTGACAATGAAATTAAAATTCTAAAGAAAATACACATTTTTACCTTCATAATTAGAGAAGTGTATGCAAGATTGGGGGTGGTGGTGGTAGTAAACCATGTGTGCAAATATGAAACAAAGCATGAATTACAGTGTAGAAGAGAATTCCTCGATGATTTTAGTTTTGAGTTATCTGGTTGTGATAATTTTTGACACTCTGTTTATAGTAAAATTGTCAAAATAAAAATATAATATCTTGCATATTGCAAAGATATAAGCATCTATTCTTCCACTTGAGGTATTTGACACTTTATTAACATGTTAAAATGTTACACCAAGCTGGTATGATGAAAAATGTTTCTGGTGTATAATTATGTTGAAAATAAATGACTCCCAAGATTGAGTGTCTTTCCAGATGATAAGTCCTTTGACTTAGGACATTGAAGGTGATCTAGTGGCTTATTGGAAATGTGTAGGGGTCTAAGCACTTTACCACTCTATGTATGGAAGCACTGCAGAGCGACAACCATAAACATCTTATGTTGGTGGGGGTTTATTGTTATTTCTAGAAAATGAACAGTATTTGTTGCTGACCTCCCAGAATACATTTTTGACAAAGTTAAAGGAAGAATGCTGTACATTAGCCAAGAAACTGGAACAAATCTCTCAAAAAACCAGGTAGGTGATGTTATAGAATACTTTCAAGAGCACTGTTTGTGTGATTACTCTAATTTTTCCTTAAAAAACATCATTTGCACTGTTTTATAGTCTAATGTCAAAATTAGGTATCTGCTGATGTTTTCTTTGAAAATATTTTCTACATATGGACATTTTCTTAATTGTCTATACGCTTTTATGTTTTTTCATGGTTATGTGTATGTACTATTATTTGACATTTCAATGTTTAGAATTGAAAACTGTGAAATTTCAGGAAAGAAGGATCAATATGGTAATAACATAAACATGCAGATAAATCAAGCAGTTATAAAATCTTACATAGGTATGGTTAACACATTTTAATCTATTGTTACAATTCACCATGAACACAAAAGCTGTCTTTAGGTTAAATGATAACAGATGAAATGTGTATATATAAAAATGAAAGTAGATGGTACTTTGAAATAAATAAACCAAAACTATTCTTCCCTTCTCCTAAAATTGTTATATTTTAATAGAACAGCCATCATTCATTTTATAGCATACTACTCTTTTATAAATCCATTGATTGGAATCTTAATGACTTTTTTCTATACACTTTCTAGTCAGATTATCTCAATGAATAAATTATTTCATATTCTAAACTGCAAGAAGCCCGACTCCCCATCTCAGCTCCGACAGTAACTGAATAATCTTGGACAAATGTATTTGACCTACTTGGACTATAGTTTCTTCTTTTGTAAATGAAAGACATTGGACAGAATCACTTTAAATTGAACTATAGAAGGCAATATTCACATAACTGATAAGATGTCAAATACTACTTTATATGATAACTCAATGAAAAAATTGCCTGTGTGTCTTCTTTTCTGCATTTTTCTGAAACTCACATAGATCTATTGAGAGCAGGAAATATGGCTCAGCAAACAAACTACTGACCTAGATGTTTCATTCGGGAAGGATTTCTGGGAGTATCAGGGCATATCTGATCACTCTGAGCTCCATCTTGGAATCCTGCATCAACAAGCTGTCTTAGCTGATAGAACCCCCATCCCTGAATCTTTTGGGGAATCAGAGGGCTCGTGCATCCAACTCTCCCTGCTCACCAGGAAGGCAGAGGCTCCTGTAACCACCAAGAATGTACTCTGACATGCGCACCTTCCTAGCGTATACTAAGATTGTATTTTGGTAGGGGAAAACCTAGGTGCCAAAATACCAGATATTTCAAGGAAATTTGACCAAGAAAACCAAATGATTTTGTCATGAAAGAGACCCATAAAATATCAACAGTAGCTATTCTTAACCAGAAATACTTGATTTGCACCACATAGATCCAAAAGTAATTTGTTAGAAGCAAACAAACAAGATTGTATCATTTAGGGATAAAATGATATCAATCTGGGTTTTATATAAATGTATTAGGTCTAAAATTGGTTTGTGAATGATTAGTGATCTTGCTCTCCAAGGAGACCTAATTAGGGAAATTTATTATATAAAAGAGACAAAAAGGTGCTTGGTATGTTATTTAATTCTCACCACAACTTGAGGCAGGAATTATTATCTTCCAGATAAGGAAACCAAAACTGTTTAAATAACTGGTGAGTGGGAGAGCTACGGTTCTAACATAGGTATTTCTGGTTCCAAAGTATACGTTCTTTCTTATGGTAATTACAGTATTTTACATCTATTGCTAAAGAAAATTCAAGCCACAGTAGTTATGATGAGAAAGTTTGGGAAGGAAAAATTCACCTTTAAATTTCCGTGGAGAAGTAAGCGTCCTTGGCATGTAACGGTTAACTTACTCTGTGCCCCTAGGCCCTCTTTTTCCTCCTCTAGATCTGTCATCTTAGCCTGTACTGGTCTAACTCAGAACCTCTATTGCTCCTCCTGCTTCTCATTCCTCCAGCTCCTGAACAGTACTTTGTAAATTGGATGTATTCTTTTGTATCTGACATAGATGGCATTTAATGAATAAATGATGAATGAATGAAACAAATAGGTGTGGTGCTATTCGCACCTCCTGATCTGACTTCTGATGCCAGTCTGTCCCATTGTTGATGGCTGACAGTGTGCAGTAAAGAACACATGGCAATTCAGAGGAACTAGGTTTGAATCTCACTCTCCCACTTGGAGCTTTGTAACCTTGGGTACATGGCCTCATTTCCCCAAACCTCAGCTTCTCCTTCTGTAAAAACATTTCTAAAGCCACACTGCAGGATTGTTATGGGAATTAGAATTGTGTATATAGATACGCATACATACACGTATCAAGTGCCTAGCACAGTGCCTGACACATAGTAATACACAGTAGCTGCTATTATTTTCACTGGTGGCATTTTTAAGGGTCTTGACTGGTAATTTGGGTATCACTTTACATAGCTATTGTCTTTGCCAGGGAAAGTCTGACTGTCATTTTCCGACGGACATAAGTCTATGCCACAATGAAAGCCTTTTTAAAACAGCCAGATCAGGAAAATGTGGATCTAGTTGTATTTTGTAACTCTGATGAATTAAAGCAGGCACCTACTCTAAGTTTACAATTTGACTCAACCAAGGCCTGGCAAGTAGTAAACACTTGATAAATTGTTACTTACTATTTTTAAAACTCTCAAGCGCCCCTAAAACTTACGAAAAGTGCATTTTGTGTGCCTCACAAGAAGGTAGTGAATAGGACAAATTTTGATTTTAGGGTTGTTTGTTCTTAATTTCTTTTAGTTCCAGTTTCATTTCTCCCTGGCTTCTTACTATGACATTTTCAATAACTCATTCATGTTAAGTTTTACATTCCATTTTGATGTTACCTTCTGCTTTGAAACCACCTATAAAACTTGAAGGGCTTAAACTGCTTCTTTTAAAATACAAATTATTAATGTAGTAAACTCTGAAGAAGCCCTCCAGGAGTGTGCCTCTGCATACCCCATGCCAAACTATTGGGATAAATAATTTTCCCTGTGCTTTGAGGTAAGGAAAATCTTGGAGTTTCTAAAGTTTTGTCATTGTGGAAACTCAGTCTCCAAATTTATACTTATGCAATCCATATGGTAATTTTGGTCCAGCTTTTCCTCAGAGTATTACAGTAAAATTCTTCTTGAAAAGTAAGTGTATTTATTTTGTATTGAGCAATAATTAAGACATATTTTTCCTTCCTCTGTTACTAGCAACATTACTCTAAGAGTCTTGTTTTTCAAAATACCAACTAAACAAATAGATTCCTACCATTTAAAACAAGATTTTAAACTCACAGATCTAGTCATTTGACTGAAGCCCATGCAGAATGACGGGAAAGCTGAGAGCATGGGCTCGGCGTGCACGTACGCCCTTACTCTCTGCCCCAGCTTCATGCTAGGCTGCTCTGTTGCTCTGTGAAAATGTTTTGAAATGGTACCTCCGTGTGTGTGTCTGTTGTATGTGTTTTCTCCCCAAGGAGACCGTAAGTCGCATTATGGCAGTGACGACTGCTTCTGTTTTCTGGAAGCCTCCATAGTGATTAGCACAGTAGTTTGCGCGCTCTGTGTACTCCACACTGCACGTAGTGGTGTCTGTAACCCCGGGGTTTGTGAATGGCACGTCCCATTTTAAAACTTAAAATGAACTGCCGATTCTGTGCATGTTGTATAGCTTGTTTTTGACCATCAGGCAAGAGAATTAATTCCATTTTGCTTTTAATTGGCACCAGGCAGACATTCTGGCTGATTTTAGTTGAAGCTCACATAAACTTTCGCTATCCTTCCTTCTGTATTCCCCAGTACTCTGAGAGCTTATTATAGTTATGGGGTTGTTTTTTGAAGGAGGTAAACGGAGCTATTTAAATATCTTCGGTACAACTGTGATTTTTCTTTATCAAAGTGAAGGAAGTGTTCTCTCTCCCCACGCGCTTAGATGAATCAGCAGTAAAACGTTGCAGTGCGGTTTGCAGTGCTATCTAACACCTGGCCTGGGAGAGCTGGAAGGATTGGGTGCTGGCAGGGAGTGAGCCTCTGCCAGCCACAGAGTGGAGAGAAGTGTGTGCTAGGTTTTAGCTTCCACCTCTTGCACACTGAAAAGAACAGGATAGAGCATAGAACCAGGGTCTATGTGGTTTTGCTTCTTTCTTTTCTGTCATTGTCACTTTCTGGGTTGTGAGGCTTGTGGACTGATGTCTAACACTGCCCATTGTGTATTTGTGATTTGCGTTTTGTAATTAAGAGGAACAATGGGAGTCCATGGGGTCTCGTTATATATAATGGTTGGTTTAATTTGTTTCACTTCTATCTTGTTAATTGTAAATTGATCATTAAGATTTGAATTCTAATCTGTCACCAGGGTTGTGAGTATTGAGGCTAGAGCAATGATCCCGGTTTTAATCACTGATGATGAGAAACAAATTTTATAATTTTGGTACATATTGCAGTTCATATATTTTAACACTATACTTTATGGTGTTATAAATATTGTTAAATGACTTTTAGTGTAGTTTTACTGTGTGGACTATAATGTGTAAATTATATTACTGTTTTGGCAACAGTAGGTATCCAACTGTGTGAGTTTAATTGAGGTGAAGAACACACACCCGGTTGAACTGTTTTTTTCCTTTGCATGTTTAGATGATGTTAGGTTGGGATACTATAAAAATTATATTTTCTACAAGAGGAGACTGATATTGGCCTCTGCTAATTGTTACCAAAAGTCAAACTAGAACCTAAAAGAATAAAAAATTAAGATATTGTATTTCCCTTTGAAAGCAATTATCATTTTAATCCGAATTATAGTAGTAAAATATATTTCATGCAAATGCAATTATGCAACATAACTGGTATATAAAAATACAGGGGAAAGTTCATGCTTCTGTAAAGCCAGAAATTGCCTGAATTTTCTATGAAAATGGATTAGAGTCAATTATCCTTTTATATGACACAGGATAATCATGCCAGAAATGTATCTCCTAACTAACAGAAAACTTGTAAGTTTACTCTTTGAGCTTTGCAAACTACTAGTTCTAGGAACATATCGTGAGCTGCAGACAGAAAAAGGATGATGTGCAGGCATATATGTCAAATTTTTATTGAAAAATGGAAGTTGGTAGGCAAATTACAATTATAAACAAAGAAAAAAACAAAAATGTGAAGCAGAAAAAAAGATTGTTGCAATACACACTTGATAGTGATGTGTACTTTATAAATAACATTTATATTTTTGGGATTATGTAAGACATCCTCAATGCAGGGAATTTGGAAAATACAAAGAAGAATTAAGGAAAATTTCCTGTGCCACTACCAGCTAGAGATAACTATTCTTACCTCTGATATATTTCCCTTCAGTCATTTTTCATGTGTATGTCTGTGTACATTTATAGTGTGATTGAGATTATACCGTATATACAGTTTTGCGTCTGCTTTTTCATTTGATATCTAATGAACATTTTTCTATATCAGTAAATACTCTGAAAACAAAACTTTATTAAATGATTTGCGTGTATAAGAATTATTAGGCTTTTAAGATGCTTCCAATTTTTAACCGTTTATGAATAATAATACAACAAAAACTTTGTACCTAAATCTAAATTTTTGATTGTTTCCTTAATTGCTGGTCCAAGACGATTAATCCTTTTAAGGGTGTTGATGTGTTTTACCTTGCTGAAGTACTACACTAACTTCTAATAACTGTATATGTAGCCATATTAGTAAATAACATTACAAAGAAGTGAGATTTTTTTAAAAAAGCATGAGAGGCAATATTGCACAGGTGGGTGGAACCACCCCTTTAGAGGTGGACTAAGTAATATCTGGGCTTGACTACTTGGATGACCTTAGGCAAATTATTCAACTTCATGTTTACCTCACAGAGAAAAGAAAAGAAACCCTTACAAGTACCTTATAGGATTAATTGAGATCATGAATGTAAAGGATGGATTTCACTGTTTGTTATACGGTGGCATGCAGTAAATATTTGGTGGTAGTATCTGGTTTTGTTGTGCTATTTTTTGAATAATAGTGAAATTGAATATGTTATAAATGGTATTGATCATTTGTGTTTCTTCTGTAGATATTTTCAATATTTCTTATACTTTTTAATTGGAATTTTGATGGAGAGTGCAGTTAGTGTTTCATTAAATTATGCTTTTAATGTTTGTCTTATTTTTGTAAATAATTTCCTGTTGTTTACATTGATTTTAATTAATAAGCTTTATTTTTTAGAGCAGTTTTAGGTTCACAGCAAAACTGGACAGAAAGTACAGAACTCCCATATATTCCCTGTTCCTTCCACACACAACCTCCCCCACCAGTGACATCTACATTTTGTTTTATTATGATTTTTTTCAAAATCAGAATGAATTTATTTAAAACAAATAAAATACATATCTATTTTAAAAATTTAGAAAGTATGGAAAAGGATGAATACAGAACAGAGAAAACATTCCTGATCCTACCATCCAGAAATAACCAATATTAATAGTTGGTATGCATGTCAAAATATTTTTCTAAATTATAAAATGAAATCACATTACACATGCTGACTTTTAATGTTTTCTCTTTGTTACTAATATGTCACAGTTTTAGATCAATAAATATCACTTATAAATAGCCACATTATCAGAATAATAAGTAACATAACCAAGCTCCTGTTGATAGATTTCTTGGTTAAGTTTCCAGATTATGGGTTGCAAAGAAAGGTTGTTTCTAGAAACAATGCTACAATGAATACTCTCACACAAACCTATGATATATTTTAAATGTGATTTTTTTATGCATAAAAGTTTTGTATTTTTATATTGTAAAATCTATTTTTTTCTTTGTGATTTTTCTTTTTAAAAGTGCCTTTTGCTTGGAAAGTGCCTGGGAAAAGATCAATGTTCTGCATTTTTTTCTAATCTGGTTTAAGGATTTTTTTTCTTCTTTTGAAATTTATTTTAGTGCATGGTATGATAGGAGATACTAATCTTGGAAGGGATACCAGATCAAAAATTTATCATAACTGCCTCTAAATTCTTTTGTATTGTATGTGATTCTGAAAGGAGAAACGTAAGTCATTATTAACTCCTTTCGGACTATTTCAAATATGGGTAGATTCTTATTAGGAGAAGCAAATGTAGATTGAGCACTTGATCTGAACTTGAAAATGAGATAATCCATGCTCTCATACAGAATATGGTAGGAAAGACAAGGCACAGAGCACAATTTAAAAGAATAAATTATAAGCTAATGTATGCATAAAGGCTAGAGGTAGCTTCAAAAAACGTGCTGACATATTGAGAACTGCAAGGTATCAATCAGGGCAAGCTTCCTTTTGGATGACATTTGAACCAAGATGAAAACAAAATGAAGAATGAGGTGAACTAAAAGCAAGAGTTTTTGCTCCATACACGTGAGCAGCCTGGTCCTTGGGATGAACAATTTGTAAAGTAAGATTTCCCTTAGCAAATCCAAATCCTTTTCTGACCAGGAAGAAAAGGCTATCTTGCCTACTGGAAGAATTCTTTCTTTGAAGGGAATTAATTTTATGTCAGGAGTCTTCAGAAAACAATCCAATCATTAACCTGAAAACGACTCATAATATACAAGAGTTTTAAACTTTCCATTCTAACTGATTAGGCATTAGGGCATGAGGAGATGGTGGCAGTAGGCAGTAATTTAGAGTTTACTTAATACAAGGAAAGGAATATAATTTTTCTTGGATAAACATCTTTCTGATCTTCAAATTTTGAGACTTGGATTGTCATCTAAGACACGAAAAACAAGATATTCCCATTTTGCTCAGGGGAGGTCAATCTTTTTTCTATTAAGACCTTCAGTGGATTGGATAAAGCCTGCCTGCATGGACGGCAATCTGCTTTTCTCAAAGTTTACTAATTTAAATGTTAATATCATCTAAAAAGCACCCTCACAGAAATGTCCAGAATAATGTCTGGCCAAATGTCTGGGCACCATGGCCCAAAGAAGTTGACACATAAAATTAACCATTAAAGAACTATTTTTATTTTAACTGTGTGCCATTAAACTGGTTATGTTAATTAAAAGAAACTCTGTTATAGAAATTAGGCCTAGGGTTTCTTCTTTGACAGCATAGTGTTTGGCCTATAACAAGCACTCAGTAAGTATTTGTTAAATGAATGACAGTCTTTTAAAAAAGAGATTTGATCATTATCATGTTTGTCTTATTCCTTAGGGAAGCCATTTCTGTTAGAGTAAGTTGTTATTCCTTTTTCTGTCTAACACATGAGTCTCTACAATGTATCTTGCCATTTCTGAAATATTTTCTTTTGCAAAGGATGTAGTTTTCATTATGCTATCATGTTTAAGTGTGGAGTTTAAGATAATGTTAAGGTTATATAATAACAATATGCCCTAGTAATAAGAACTTCTAACATCTATTATTTTTGTGTTTTCACCTCTAGATCTGAAATAGCTCAACTCAGTCAAGAAAAAAGGTATACATATGATAAATTGGGAAAGTTACAGAGAAGAAATGAAGAATTGGAGGAACAGTGTGTCCAGCATGGGAGAGTACATGAGACGATGAAGCAAAGGTAATCAAGGTTTCATGTCAACTCATGTGCCGCATATTGAATGTGTTTGGTTTACACACTGAAGGGGAATTGCTGCGGAATAAGTAGAATTCATCATCATTATGCTACTTGTGACATGCTCAAAATCTAATACTTTATTTTATGTATTTATGCTTCCTTAATTTAGGTTGTTCTTATTATATACAAAGAGGAGAGTACATCCTCTTTTTGTTATTCTCTGAAGACATAGAATTAGATTTAACATGGAAGAATGGAGGAAAGCCATTTTCCTTTAAGGTGTAAGTTGGTAATATTGTAATATGGAGGAATTTCAAATTATCTCTCCTAGAAATTAGATTTTATATGCTTTTTGTAAGGTAAAGCACATAGTAGGTCTAAAGAGGTTAAACATCTTATCAGAGGTTGCACTAATAGCATTGCTAGAGTCAGAACTTGACTACAAACAAAACCTTCACTTCTTTCTGGTGGTGTTACTTTGAGCAAGTCACTTAAGTTCTCTGAGTGACTGTTTCTTCACCTATATATTGGCGCTAATCATATCTACTTTGCATTTTGATGGAAAGATCAAATATAATATGGCAAAGCACATGGCTCATAAAGGCCACCCACTAAATGTCATCAATAATTATTATTCTCTTTTTCTAGATGAAGAAATTCGGCTCAGAGAGGCTAATAGGTTTGCTCAAAGTGACAGATGGAATAAGTGGTAGAGTTCAGACTTGAATCTTGATCTTTTGACTCCAAAATCCTTTTCTTTTTGTGCAGTAATGGGGATTTTTTTTTTGGCAATAAACACAGCCTCTTACTATTTTTTATCCATGTGCCATTTCTCACTTCTGTGTGATAATGGATTCCCTGGGCAGAAAATAATCTCAGTATTTCACAGCAGACAGTGAATAGGTTTCTGTAGACTTGGACTTCCACATGACAACCGCATGCACGATGATAGCAGCCACCCTTCCAGTGGACACGGTTCGCGTGGCCTCCAGCTCGGCATCCCCACACCATTTCCCAGCCATCCATGCCTTCTCTGTTTCAAAAACAGTTCTTGATATAATTGAAGGAAATGAAAATATTTATAGACTCCTTGTATTTTTTTAAATGTAAAGTAAGCATATTAGCCTGGGGTGGGGGGGAGGTATTTTTACGTTGATTACTTGCTTTATTGAATGAAGACAGGCAGTCAGATGATGGCACTGCTTGTCAGTTATCAAAATACCAAAATATGGATATACTTGCAAAGTAATAATTATTCATTCACTATTAAAATGTTTACTTAAGCCCAGGCACTTCTGTAGGCCAGGGGTCTGCAAACGTTTTCCGTAAAGGGCCAGAGAGTAAATATTTCGGACTTTGCAGGCCACACGTGGTCTCCGTGGCATAGTCTTCCTTGTTTTGTGTTTTTTACAACCCTTGGAAAAAGTAAAGACCATTCTTAGCTAGAGGACCAACAAAATGAGCCAGAGGATTTGGCCATTGGGCCAGCCTTTGCCCCAGTCCTGTGCACCTGGGGCATCTTTCCATTTATTTTCTTACATTTGTGTATTGCTTTAGAGTTCCTAGAATGCTCTCACACATAGTACCTTATGTACCTTGAAGCAACCTTGAAAGTAGCTGCATTTATCATCTCCATTTCCAGATGGAGAACTAAGCCTAAGAAAGACAAACGTGCCGAATGAAGGTCAGGTGGCAAATTAATGGTTCGTTCATTCAACATTGATTGATTGATTGATTGATTGCTGCTGTGTGTCACATTTTCTACCACATGCTGGAATAAAATAGCAAAGTAGATATAGTTCCCACTCTAATGGAGTATACATCCTTATAGGGAAGATGGATATTAGCAAAAGAATTTCATAACTGTCTAATTAATTATAGTTGACCCTTAAACAACACAGATTTGAACTGTTTGGGCCCATTTATACACAGATTCTTCTCAATAAATTTATTGGAAAATTTTTTGGAGATTTGCAACAATTTGAAAAAACCTGCAGACAAACCATGTAGCCTAGAAATAATGAAAAGAAGTTTTAAATTTAAGTATGTCATGAATACATAAAACATCTGTAGATACTGGTCTTTATCATTGACTACCATAAAATATATGCAAATCTATTATAAAAAGTTAAAATTTATCCAAACTTACACACACAAACACAGATCATACATGGTACCATCTGCAATTGAGAGAAATGTCAAATGTGAAGGTGCAGTATTAGATCGTAACTGCATGAAGTTAACTGTAGCACACACTGTACTACCGTGATAATTTTGTAACCACCTCCTGTTGCTATTGCGAGGAGCTCAAGTATTGTAAGTATCCACTGAAAACGCTGTGTGGACTAAATCGTCTGCATGTGAACAGTTTCTCTCTCCAGTAAATTGCTTATTGCAATAACAAGTGATCTATTGCAGCTCTTGTGTATTTTTCATCATGTTTAGTGCAATACATAAACCTTGAATAACACCGTGGGACCCATACGAAGTGCCACTAGTGATGTTGGAAGTACTTCCAAGAAGCAGAGAAAAGTCATGACGTTACAAGCAAAAGTTGCATTGCAGGATATGTAGCTTAGATTGAAGTTTGCAGCTGCAGCCGCCTGTCATTTCAGATGATTCATCTTATAAACAGACATTATAAACTTATGGCATCAATATATAACAGTACAGTACTGTAAAAGTATTTTCTCTTATGATTTTCTTAATATTTTTTCTAGCTTACTTTATTGTAAGAATATAGTGTATAACACATATAACATATAAATATGTGTTAATCAACCATTTATGTTATCAATATAAGGCTTCTGGTCAACAGTAGGCTGTTGGTAGTTGAATTTGAGAGGAGTCAAAAGTTATGCATGGATTTTTTGACTGTACAGGGGGTTGATGCTCCTAACCCCCATGTTGCTCAAGGGCCAACTGTACAGTAATGACCAGTTCTATGAAGGAGAAATATATTTTGTGGTACAAGTACATTTAATAAGGGAACTTGTTTTTTAAAAAATTATTTTTAAGAGAATATCTCACTCTGTCGCCCAGGCTGAAGTGTAACCTTGAACTCCTGGGCTCAAGTGATCCTCCCTCCTCAGCCTTCCAAGCAGGTAGGGCTACAGGTACATACCACCATGCTCTGCTAATTTTTTTTTTTTTTTTTTTTTTTTGAGACAGAGTCTCACTCTGTCGCCCAGGGTGGAGTGCAGTAGCGCGATCTCGGCTCACTGCAACCTCCGCCTCCTGGGTTCAAACAATTCTCCTGCCTCAGCCTCCGGAGTAGCTGGGATTACAGGCGCCTGCCACCACGCCCAACTAGTTTTTGTATTTTTTAGTAGAGACAGGGTTTCCCCATGTTGGCCAGGCTGGTCTCAAACTCCTGACCTGAGGTGATCCGCCTACCTCGGCGTCCTCTGGGATTACAGGCATGAGCCACCATGCCTGGCCTAATTTTTAAAACTTTTTGTGGGTACTAGGTCTTGCTATGTTGTCCAGTCTGGTCTTGAATTCCTCGCCTCAAACCATCCTCCCGCCTCGGCCTTCCAAATCTCTGGGATTACAGGTGTGTGAGCCACTGTCCCCAGCAGGGCACTTAACATTGATTAAGAAAAGCTTCAATGAGAACATGACATTTGAATCGGTAAGCAGTGGGATTAGATCAGGAATTGGCAAACTATCTGGCCCTCTCCTAAAAAATTTTACTGACTCCTGTTCTAGAGAAAGAAAATCTATAAAATGGAAGTTCCTGAGATAAGAAAGCATAGTACTGGAGGAAGAGCAAGAACTGTGTGTCCAACATAAAGGAAAACAGAAAGTGTGGCATACAATGAGGTTGGAGAGGTAGGAAAGGGCTGGACCTAAAGGCAGGGTCTTTATGTTTTTGTTTTTATTTTATTTTATTTATTTATTTTTTGATACGGAGTCTCTCTCTGTCGCCCAGGCTGGAGTGCAGTGGCGCAATCTTGGCTCACTGCAAGCTCCGCCTCCCAGGTCCACGCAGTTCTCCTGCCTCCCGAGTAGCTGGGACCACAGGCGCCCACCACCACGCCCGGCTAATTTTTTGTATTTTTAGTAGAGACGGGGTTTCACCGTATTGGACAGCATGGTCTGGATCTCCTGACCTCGTGATCCGCCAGCCTCGGCCTCCCAAAGTGCTGGGATTACAGGCGTGAGCTACCGCACCGGGCTGGTCTTTATGTTTTTATCATGGACCTTTAAATTTATCTTGTTACTAATGGGAAGAAATCAAAAGATTTTTTAAAAAATAGAGGAGATGTGATCAGATTTGCATTTAAAAATTGTATTCTAACTCCACAATAGATAACAGATTGGAACAGAGCCATCGTGTTTGCTCAAGACCAGTTATGGGCCGGGCGTGGTGGCTCACGCCTGTAATCCCAGCCCTTTGAGAGGCCGAGGTGTGTGGATCATGAGGTCAGGAGTTCGAGACCAGCCTGGCCAACATGGTGAAACCCCGTCTCTACCAAAAATACAAAAATTAGCTGTGTGTGGTGGCGAGCGCCTGTAATCCTAGCTACTCGGGAGGGTGAGGCAGGAGAATCACTTGAACCCGGGAGGCGGAGGTTGCAGTGAGCCAAGATGGCACCACTGCACTCAAGCCTGGGTGATAGAGCGAGACTTTGTCTAAAAAATCAAACAAACAGAAAAACGATTAGGGAGTTTTTGGACTTAGTCAAGCAATGATGATGCTTGGACTGGAATGCTAATATTGGTGACAGAAATAAACACTGGCGAAATGTGTAGGAAGTAGAACCAGCAGGAGTTACTTGATTGGCAGTGCTGGGTGGAGAAGAGGAGCGTGTCAAGGACGACACCCATATTTCTGACCTGAGCAATGGGTGCCTAGTGCTGCTACTTACTGAGAACTAGGGAACACTCTAAAGAAGCTGGTTTGGGGTTGAGATGGCCTGGGTTTGGGATGAGATCAAGCGTTACGTTTTGGCCATGAATTTAATGTTCAAATGATGGTAAAGATCATTCAAGTTGTAAAAACGAAGAAAGTTAAATTTTCAACTGGTGGTTTGGAACCCCTGGTGTCCACAAAGGCAGTCCAGGGAATTCATGTTAAAGATGGCAGTGCCATTTTTTTTTTCTGTTTTTATTTTAAAGTAAGTATCAATTCACCTATTTCTCCCTAGAAAATAGAGCTGTGTGAAAATCCCCCAGTGTATACAGAGTGGACAAGCCCCAGAGCCAGTGGAGCACTGCTGAGCACCTGTGTCCTCTCATCTGGGCGTTCACTGTCACCGACTCCCAGTAATCCCGGGGGTTTCGTCAATTACACAGTTTTACAGGAGTTTTTTCCCCCTTTTGTATGGTAATATATTGTTTAAAGTATATCCATAAAAACCATTGTCTAAAGACATGCAGCTTCTGATCGAAGTGTAACAATCTAGTAATGAGTTTAAAATAGGTAATTCTTCTATAAACTAGATTCAGGATGATCTTTACCAAATCCGTAAGTTCTATGTTTGTCATAGAAATTTGATTCTTCAAAAGCCAATGTTAAAAATACAAATTATAATATTGATTTCTATCTAATTTGACATTTTAATTTGGGGAATTAACACTATTTACTATTTTCAGAAAAGTGCTTGAAAATAGAAGCCTGAAATCTTAATCTTTATCTCATAATTTAAAAACAAAAAGAGTCCTTTGCAGGAACATGAATGGAGCTGGAGGCTATTATTCTTCAAACTAGTGCAGGAACAAAAAACCAGATACCGTATGTTCTCATTGTAAGTGGGAGCTAAATGATGAGAACACATGGATACTTAGAGGGGAACAGAAGACACAGGGGCCTGCCTGAGGGGAGGAGGTGGAAGAAGGGAGAGGATCAGGACAAATAACTAATGGGTACTCGGCTTAATACTAGGGTGACAGTTATAATCTCTTCACAATCTCCCATGATACAAGTTTACCTATATAACATACCTGCACGTATACCCCTGAACTTAAAAGTTTTAAAAAAATGGGAAAATTAAAAAAAGAGAGAAAGCTGTAACAGTAGCAGTTGAATTTTATATTCAAAAAGCAAACATTTCAAAACAAATCATGAAATTGTTTTTATTTGTTATTGATTTTATAACATGGGTTTAATTTCAAATCTATGTTTTAGAGTATCTTTTGGTGTGAAGACGTTATTAGCCAATGGTGCCTTTTTCTTTCATAATTAATTCACTATGGATTTAATTTATGTAAATGAAATAGTGGCATTATTTATTGCACAGGAAAATTAAAATTTTATGTTACAAAGTTCAAACTTATGCTTATTTTAAATGAAATGCTTTTACTTAAAAAGTTCCTCTTTATTATATATAATAATGAGATGATTTAATAAATTCCATGTGTTTCTATGGAGGGGGTTTGAGAGTCAAAAGAAATTTGGAGACGCTGAGGTAGACAAAGTGCGGCGTATAAGGTTCCTGAGAAGAGAGGTGGGTTGGGATACCAAGCACTGAGCAGAAAATGATAGTGAACTGGGCGAAGGGTCACCTCCTCCGTTGCCATCGCAGCAGCTGTAGCAGAAGAGATTATATGAGCTGATAAATGCAGGCTTATGGATACGGTGCTGGAAAGGTAACCTGATGCCAGACTTAGTTTATTCTGTGTTTATTGGGCATCTGTTTTGTACCAGTCACTGTGCTAGGCCTGGAGACACAAAGATGTAAAAGATATACTCTGCCTTGGAGAACTGCGTGAACTCGGAGGGCGGAGGTTGCAGTGAGCCGAGATCGCGCCACTGCACTCCAGCCTGGGCAACAGAGTGCAACTCCGTCTCAAAAGAAAAAAAAAAAAAAAAAAAGGATATACTCTGCCGCACTCTCGTGGCTGCAGACTTCCTTTCTGTTTGGGCTGGCCTAAGTATTGCAATCCTGCAGTGCAGAGTAGCCATGGCAGCACCTGCCATCTCCTGGGAGGTCACTCCTGGCTGCTGCCATGCCTCCAGAAACCCAGATGCAAGAAGAAAGTCTCTCCTGAGGAACCAGCCTCCCTTGGCAGGCTAGACAGGAGTTGGCTGCCCTTAAAGTGTTTATTTGTTTAAGTCTCCTGTTCTCTCTGTTTTATATAGACCTAAAGGTCTGTTATTGAGATTTGGAGTGTATGGTCAAAAACTTCCACTGCCCCTGGGGCAGTCTTGAGTTGTTCATCCTTTGCTTAGAAAAGTGATCAAGGTGTAGACCCAAGCTCCCTGGGTAGTGATGACCAGAAGACTCACCCCGAGTATAGGTGTTTTTGTCAATTCTTATGGACAGTTTCAAAATCTATTAAGTAAAAAATTTAAAAGTACTAAAATTTGGTTTTTATAAGCCAAAACAACTTACTGCGAATGCTAATGCAATATTCTACTGGCCGCCTCCACACCCGGCAGAGCTTGTGTGATGTAACATAAGCGCTGCTAGTTTGACTTTTGATGATTTGGGGAAAGGATTCTAATTATTACTAGGTTATCAGCGTTGTTCTGAGGTCATCTTCATTTTCAAATGCTGCTCTTCTTGCTTTTAATTATAAATTGCTGTTAATTTAGCTTCATCACAATAATTTAGTTTGTTTTGGATTGTTTTGTTAACCCCCTACGGTGCAGTATTGCATACTTGCATCAGTGGTATAATGGTTTCCCAGTAACTACATTTTAAGTCCCGTATGACTTGTAATACAGAAATGAATCACCCATTATCTCTTTTGCTAAAGCAGATATATGATCCCTGCCTCCTGCCACCACCTCAGCAATTTGCTGTAGAGAGGCAGTCCTTTGATTTGCTCCTTGCAAATGTTTGTTTTTAAGTAACTGATAACATGCTATTAAGAGCAAATTAACAAAATTAGATTTATATGCCATTATTTTATAATATAAAATTATACTCTTATGAAGAAATGGTAAGAGATGTATATGTTGCTAGAAAAGAATCTTATTACATCTTGTTTTGAAATGTTCCGTTATCCCTAGAGTTTGTTTCACTGGACCACTGACATGTTTGGATTAGGGAGGCTGTCTCATCTAAGGGGTCTAACAACAGACAATCGAATACTAGAAATCACATAGAAAAGTTTATCCTTTTCAAATTATTCAAAAATTGTAAGCCAATTGGGGTTCAAACAGTCCCTTTGTAATGAGCCAGTTGTATGCATTGAGAACTCCCTGTGAGGACTGGAAGTCACGTTTGTTTATACTGTGGTGGGAAGGCCAGATCAGACTGCTGCCCTCCCAATAAGTTGGGAGCTTTGCCACTCTGTGGGAGTTAGAATTTTGATCTGGGAATGGATAATGAGTTATTTAAAGCAGGCTGTGCATTTACCTTAGCTGGGACAAGGCAGCTGCTATAACTGATTACCAGGGAGAACATTAAGTGGGAAAAGGAGGCAACAAAACAAAGTTGGGACAATGCCAAAGAAATGATGTTACACTTTTGCCTGGGATAGGCCCACTACCCAGGAAAAAGAAAAAGACACCCTTTGATTTATTCATCAAATATTTACCGAGTGCTTATACACTGCTGATGTGCTTGGGATACATCAAAGGACACGTAGACAGCCTTGTCCTTATGGAACTTACATGCTTTAAGCTACCTTCAAGATCTAGTCCTTTGTTTTTAAGACCTAAAGCCAAAAGTAGAGAGATAGTATGCATCGTACGTAACAGCATCCTTCCTAAAACCAAGTTCTCTGGGCTTTCCTCAGTTTACTTCTTTGTAGCTGCTTTGTAGCTCCATGGGCTAATTCCTTAATCTTAAACTTCATCTTCCTCACTTTCTTGATCTCCAAAATGCTACCTTGTAGGTTGTGAAAACTGCCTAAAATAATCCACAAAAAGGTCTTTAGAATAGTTCCTGGCACAACGTTAGTGCTTAACAAATGTTTCACATTGCTATTCATTCATATCCTTCATTCAACATATTTATTAGGCCCTTAATACATGCTGAGCTCTGTTCTGGATTCTGGGATTGCAGCAGGAACTTCAGAGACTTAGATTCTAAATGGTTGTTTATTTATATTATAGGTTAAATTGACTCTTGTGAGTTAGTCTGTGAACCAAAATACCATGTTTACATAATGTTATTTCTAAGGCAAAATGCCTTTTGAATTTTCAACAACTGATTTATGGAACGACATTTTGGACCACGACTTGGGATATGCCTATGATGTTCTAAGTGTTTGTGAACATGTGAATGTGTGTGTGTGTGTGTGTCCTCTATTCGATGGTGAAAATTTTCAGTATGAGCCCCAAGTAAAATTTCAAGAGGGATATATCTATCTAGTTGCTTCTTTACAATCGTATTTTCAGCATAGTTAGGAATAAGGAACACTCTAAAAAATTTTTTTATGCAAGTTTTAGGTTCACAGCAAAATTGAAAGGAAGGTACAAAGATTTCCCATATACCCCATACATGCATAGCCTCCCGCATTATCAGTATCCACCACCAGAGTGGTATAATTGTTACAATTGATAAGCCTTCATTGGGACATCATAATCACCCAAAGGCCATAGTTTACATTAGGGTTCAGCCTTAGTTTTGTACATTCTGTGGTTTGGACGAACACATGATATATCTCTACCATTGAACATGCTCTGTATGATATCATATCATGTTTATCAACTTTTTTTTTTTTTTTTTGAGCAGTGGCAAGGTTTTTTGTGAAGAGCAAAAGAACAAAGCTTCCACAGCATGGAAGGGGTCCCGAGCGGGTTGCCCCAACTTTTTTTCATGGGTCGTACCTTTGGTGTTGTAGCTATTGTCCTACCTGTGGTCACCTAGATGTTCTCCTATGTTATTTTCTATAAATTTTATAGTTTCGTGTTTTACAGTTAAATCTGTGATCCATTTCAAGTTACGTTTTGTGAAGGGTGTAAAGTCTCTGTCTAGATTCATTCTTTTTTTGCATATGGATATCTAGTTGTTTTAGCACTATTTGTTAAAAACTCTATTTTTGCTCTATTCTACTACTTTTGCTGTTTGTCAAAGATCAGTTAACTACATTCATCTGAGAGGAACACTCTTTTTAAATTCCTAATTGTAACTTCATTAAGTCTTTAGGAACAGAAAAACAAAAGGCTAACAGAGTTTAACTTCTACTCCTGGGAGGGAAAATTTTATATTAGTACTAGGAAATAACTAATGCCTGTTTGGAGGCAAAAATTCTGACAAACCATCTATAACCTGCCAATTTTAATATTTTTATAATGTTTATTATTTTTGCTTTTTCTACAATTAACTGTGGATAATACAAAAATATTCAATTAATAATAATTGCTACACCCATGTTAGCATTGTACAAAGAACCACAAGAGGCTGTGAGTATTAAACACCTATCTGTGGAAAGGTCTTTTCGCAAAAAGACAGAATAGGTAAATTTCTGTTCTTATATCAGAGGGGAAAAAAGGTACATTTCAGTGCTGAAAGTCCCTGAAAAATTTCTTCCATATATCCAATGTAAACCTCTTTCAGTCAATTCACTCTCTAAAGCTGATTTTCTCTCTTTGGTTTATCTTTTTGGTAGATCCAGAACTGATTAGAATTTTCATTATCTTAACTCTTAAGACTTAAAATTTAACTTAGAACTTTTAAATTAAATCTGATTTTTCATTTCTGTAGTTGTGTTTGTTGCTTTGCCTTAGACTCTACAATTTTAAACATTGAATATTAAATGTGAAAACCTAGATTGCCTGTCTTTTGCTTTATTTTGCACCTTCTAACTTATTAATGTATCCCTGTATTTATTAACATGCATTCAGCACTAGGTACAAAAGGAAAAAAGACATGATATTTCCCCTTTAGAAGCTTCGAATCCAGTGCGGGAGGTATACGGTAATCATACAGGTGTAATAGACTACGGTAAGAGTAAACCCAGGATGCTCTCTGTGTACATCAGACTGGCATGTCACCCAGGTTTGGAGGTACAGGGCACAATTCTTTTGAGAAATAATATCTATCGTCAAATCCTAAAATGACATGGAGGAATTCTTTTTTTTTTTTTTTTTTGTATTGAAACAGAGTCTCGCTCTGTCGCCCAGGCTGGAGTGCAGTGGTGCCATCTCGGCTGACTGCAAGCCCCACCTCCCGGGTTCACGCCATTCTCCTGCCTCAGCCTCCCGAGTAGCTGGGACTACAGGCACCCGCCACCAGGCCTGGCTAATTTTTTTTGTATTTTTAGTAGAGACGGGGTTTCACCGTGTTAGCCAGGATGGTCTCGATCTCCTGACCTCGTGATCCGCCCGCCTCGGCCTCCCAAAGTGCTGGGATGACAGGCGTGAGCCACCGCGTCCGGCCAGAAAGCTGTTTTTTAAACATTAACCATCACACCACTAATGGATTTTGCTTTTGCCCTCCCTCAGTGACAGTTCACATTTTTCCTAGGATCAGGGCAACAGGTTTCCACCCATTTCCCAGAGGAAGACAGCTTTTGCCTCTCACCTTCTCCTGGAGGCAGTGGGCCTTTTTCCTGAGAAGGTTTCTTGCCCCTCCCCCGGGAGCTTGAGGCGTTTGCTTCATATGAAAAAATAGTCTAGTCAGTGGGCAGTGGATGTCCTCATGCCCCACCTCGGAGGGGGAAGCTGCTCGTGGGTTTTTTTGCCCCGCCTTCAATCTTTCCTGTGCGCATCCGGGGGGAGGAAGGCTGTGGAAAAGTGTTCAATAATGAGTGCAGGTTTCTCTTGTCCTCTTGTGTTTGGGGCTCCCATGGATTCCAGGCTGGCACACTAGCCCACACTTTAAGAACCCATTAAAAGGTTGGCTGCTTTCCTTTTATCTACTTTTACAGTGGCCATTTCCCCTTTCCTTGCTATGCCAAAGATAAAACGGTTCAATTGTTCTGCCTTCAGAGAGTCATGTCACCTTTTGGAATTTACATCAGCTAGTTACCTTGCAACCTCAGCTCTCTGATTGGCTCAAGAAAAAATATGATTTTGAAGATTATCTGGCTTTTGCCCATTGTTAGAGTGGGAGTGATTGTGTGTGTGTGTGTGTGTGTGTGTGTGTCTATGCACACGTGCGCGTGCACCTGCCTACCTCCTAGTAGGAGGTAGACCCCTCAGAAGTTAGACCTGGAGGAGTCTTTCTCTTGAACCATGTAAAAATGTTTAGGATTTCTTCTGAGCACTCTGAGAGGGGCCTTTGAAGGGTTTTAAACAAGGGAAAGACATTTCTGTGATGTTAGCGTTTTCAGTACCATGAGGCTTTTCTCATACTTGGTGAGCCAGAGTGGCTCCTGATAACTTTCTGCTGATCATGGCCTATCTTTAACTTTGCAGTTTGTTTCTGATCTCTGAGTTTATTGACATTTTCACCAGTGATTTTGCTCGCATTATCCAACTACTTCCATTCCTATGACATTCCTCTGGTTTGTATCTTTCCATATCTGTTTTAAGATATGTTAACTAACCAAGTGAGTGACTTCAATGAAGATGCTGCCAATTCCTTCATTCCTACTGTCTTAGAACCTGTGCAAGGATTAAATATGAATGTTTATTTTGGCTGTAGTCCCTGGGCAGTGAGAGTGAGGGAATGGAAGGTGAGGCGTGGAAGAATGGAAAACAATGTGTGATAATGTGTTACAATACTGGTGACTGCTTCTTCTTTTATTTTTATTTTATTTTTTATTTTTTGAGACAGGGTCTCACTCTGTCACCCAGGCTGGGGTGCAGTTGTGCAGTCATGGCTCACTGCAGCCTCAACCTCCTGGATTTAAGTGATCCTCCCACCTCAGCCTCCCAGGTAGTTGGGACCTCAGGTGCATGCCACTGCACCCAGTTTACCATTTTAAATTTAATCATCTGGCCGGCCGCAGTGGCTCATGCCTGTAATCTCAGCACTTTGGGAGGCCAAGGCAGGTGGATCACCTGAGGTCAGGAGTTCAAGACCAGCCTGGCCAACATGGTAAAACCCTGTCTCTACTAAAAATACAAAAAATTAACCAGGTGGGATGGTGGGTGCCTGTAATCCCATCTACTCCAGAGGCTGAGGCAGGAGAAACGCTTGAAGCCAGGAGGCGGAGGTTGCAGTGAGCCAAGATCACGCCACTGCACCCCAGCCTGGGCAACAAGAGTGAGACTCCATCACACACACACACACACACACACACACACACACACACACACACATCATTGGAGCTATTCTGTAGAGATAGTAGTATTGCCTTCTGTTTCTAGAGGGGGAAATTGAGGCTCTGAGAAGTTATATAACTTACCCAACATCACATAGCTAATATGTGGCATTGTTAGTCTAGGAATGCAGGGCTATCTGATGTCAGAGCCCATGCTTTTAACTACCTGAGTTTCCCCAGCAAGCCAGCCTCTCAGCGGGGCTTGGACTACAAGTGACAGTGTTTGTTACATCTAAGTCAAATTCTCTCTCTACTAGGGGCCTTTCAGGCTAATGTGTCTTAGAAAGCTTCCCAGGTTGTAGCAAGACTAAATGAGCTTTTAAAAAGACTTTTTAATTGCTAATGGAGCATATGGTGCATAATGGTTAATGATATGCAGTTTCCGGAGCTTTCTGCCTGGGTTCTAGTGCCAGTCCCACCACTGAACCTGCTGTTGACCTTGTGCAAGTTACTTCACCCCTGGGTGAGTCAGTGTCTTCATTATAGGAGAGAAAAACGGAAAAGGTCCCACCTCATAGGGTTATGAGGCTTAAATGAGCTTAGCATTTGCCTGGCGTGTACAAAACGACGTATGTTTTTGTTAAATAAAATAAGTTCTTCGGTTTTATTCTGCAATTCACACTTAATAGTATATCATTATTAAATTAAAAAAAAAGGAAAAGAAAAACATTAACTAGCAGGTCTTCCTTTAAAACTAAATAAGCTCTGCTGCTAGACAGGACCCTGCTTTTGTCTCAGGAAACACTGAATTTCAGGCTGCCTTTGAGAGGTTTTGTTCCAAGGCAGACCCTTTTCACCTGACTTGGGAAGGGCAGTTCACTTTGCCTGTCGGAGAGCCTATGGGTCAGTTCCAGGAAGAATTCCAGGAATTCTGGGAAATGGCTGGAAGGCATTGACATGGGGTTGGAGCTGTGTGTAAGGCCCTGTAGGCAGCAGTGTTCCAATTGTGCACTTTTGATGTTGCACAAAGGATTGAAATCTAGACTCAGTCAAACATAATGAATTAACTGCTTTGTGGGATACCATGGCTTTTTGACATTTCTTTGGTAATTTTGAACAAAATAACTTCTGAGGTGATTACATAAGGAAAGCAATGCCTTTCGTGCTTTTGAAGAGTGTTTTCCTTTGTTGAGCTGAATGTGTATATTTAAGGGGGAAGAGCAGTTTCGTGCATTGTTTTGGCCGTGTGTAGCATGCAGGCTGCTGGTGATGGGAATTGAGCAGATTAAAGTCAATGTTTGGTTTTGTGATAATATCTTGATGATCTATTCCTGGTGATATTTTCTGGGCTTTTGTTTTCTAGAAATTAATTGGTTTAAAAATGGCCATTATCCATAAAAGAATTTATTTTGTATATGAACATGGGCCAAACCATTTTCTCCTTCTTATCTATGGAAAATAGTCAGCTTTAAGGAGCCGGTATTTTAAAGGCATTTTGTATGAATATAGAAAAACAGCATTAAAGAGGCTTTTGAGTCACTCTTTTCCAACAAATGTAAATTTTAATATTTATATGTTAGGCAAATGTGTCATTAAAAGAAAGTAGGCATCCATCTAGCTGATGTATTGCTGACTCTGGCTGCTAAGTGAAGCTCACACAGTCCTCTGCAAATGTGGGTACAGGGGATGGATGGGTATTAAGATGCCAAACGTGCTGTTCATGCTGAATTGTTTTCTAACCAGCCCATGGTACTTCTCTGCTATTTTTTTATCTTTTTCTTTGTCTGATACTCCCCTCAATTTTACATTACTTTCCTGCTCTCTTTTCACGGTCCTGTTGCTTTGGTTCTTCATTTCTAGAATACTCTCTTCATTTCTAGAAGGAAATCTGTGGTCAGAATTTATGCTCTTCTACAGTAAAATGGTAAATGGTGTGCCTAGGAGTAGCATTTTCTTCAAATTCATATGGCTAGATTTTATTACCTAAAATCTGAGATGTACTAATTAGGGAACAAAGAATTTTAATCAAAAATCTAGTTGTCAGAAAACTCTAGGTTTGTTAAAATATATATATGTAAATATAGGTACAGATATATCATACAGACTTTGGAGTATCTTAACATTGAGATTGTTTTATACAAGTCAGATCAGCACATAGGAGGAGTCACAACTGTCATTGATCATAATTTATGACCCTTTCTAGACTTTCTGAATGTTGTTATAGAAAGAAATGTCTTATATTGAGCTTGATTCTTTAACATCATAGAAATTCATTCAGAAAAGTTTGATGAATAACAGAAGAAATCTTTATTCACTGGCCCAAAGCTTAGTTTATATTCTGTGCTGTTATAACATCTATATGTGTGTCTATATTAGTACTATCAGCTCTCTGTGGCAAAAAGAGGCTCTTTAAAGATGGAAACTATTATAATAAAACTTCGTATTTTTACAAAATACCTCAAATTGGTAGCATTCAAAATGAATTCATGTTGGTTAATAATGAGGTGTACATTTTGCTGTGTAAGTGAATAGATCATCATATTACCCCAAGAGGTGATTTTTACATCTATATCAACAGTGTTTCTTGAGATTGAGGAATTGTGAAAAGGATTTTAGTAGAAGGGTGGCAATTTGCAGCAGATGTGTATCTGCACCTCTGGTATCACTGGTTGTAATTGAACAATAAAAATGTTGCAACCGTCTGGGTAGCAAGATGGCTAAGGTCGGCTCTTGCCTGTGATAGTAAGAATGGAGGAGATTTGTTTGACGTCATAGACTCTGGATTATAAGAAGGAGACATGTCAAGCAGTAACTACGTGGCATGTGGCTGTGATGCGTCTACAGCCAACCTCCTGGTGTGGCCTTCCCAAAGACAAGGAAGCGTCCCATTCAAGTGTGTCTCAGTGCTTGCATGACACAGTGCCTCTGGATTTTACGTCAGTTCTGCCTTCAGTGTAAAGCCCTGATTTTCATAGATAACCTAATCTGTAGGGAAAAAGAACATTAAAAAAAAAAAAGTATAGCCACAAAAGTTCTTTCCACTCATGTGTGGATCTTTCCAGTTTTTTCAGACAGAAACCAAATGACAGCCTCACAGTCACAGAATCTTCCAACACTGAAAGTTAAAGCTGATTTCTTCTTCATGGAGAAAAGCTTACAAACCTTTTCAGACTACTTCTTTAGTGTCAATTCTTGGAACCACATCTTCTTCCTGATTTAAATGTTTGGCTGTGTACCTCCAGCTAGAGCTATTAGAGTTTTTGCTGATTTGCTTGGCATATCTCCAGCAAAATAGTCCATTAAAATTCAAATCCTTTCCCAATAATTGAGACAATCAATTTACATTAAACAAGGCACAAATATAATTTTATGTACAATTTAAATTCTATAGAAAATAATCAGTATGCAATAAAGAGGGACACTTATTTTGATGCAAAGAGATGTTTTTCTAGTCTGCATTAAACAAATCTTTCATATTTTCAAAATAGTTCCCTCATTATCTTTGTGTAGAGGAGCTCTATTGTGTTTTATTTTGATGTAGGAACAAGTGTGTGTCCATGGCTGCATGTTTGATAAGCAGTGTAACTTTCTCTCAGTGACATGTAAAGGGAAAGGTTTGAGATAGAATAAGGAAAGTATTTGCTTGCTATTTAACTTGGAACAATTCATACAAAAAGGGCGAAGAAGATGCATGGGGAATTTATTGCCTTTGTACCAGTGTTAGTGAAATGGGCATTGTTTGTTCATCTTCACCTGTTTATGATACACCAGGTGGTTGTTGCTCTGCCAGAGGTTGTGTGTTAGGTCCTAGGCAAATCACTCAATGGGACTTGGGAAGGTTGCATAGGATGGGGGCCATGTGCACACACATAATTGTGTGCCTTAGTGCAGAAGAGTTCCTGGGAAAGTTTTAAAGCCCCAGCAGGTAACCTCGCAAGGCAGCTAGACCCCACCAGTGTGCCTGAATCCTCCACAGTTCTCATTTGTAAGCTCTTAATGAGACTGGTATTGTCGGTCAGGAAATCTAGAACACTGGAGAAATATTATTAGGAAGAATATAGTAAAAATAATGACAAGATCGAAAACAAATCCTGTCAGAGCCCAAGAATAAAT